>NC_000005.10:18792669-19095699 GCF_000001405.40 Homo sapiens
CTCCAGTGGAACCTGGGTGGCGGTAGCTGGGTCCCCTGTGAGCATGGAGAAGGCGCTGAAGCAGCTGGAAGCACAGAGCACTAAGAAGCAATGAGCCTTTGCTGGCAGAGTTGGATGGGCATTTTTGACTGCGCTATAAGCGGTACACGCCCAGTCCCTGGGATGCAGCAGAGGTAAGGGCCATCCAGACACAGGTGAGGTGCCTGGAGGCCCAGCTGCACAGCTCAGAAAAAGAGTTAGAAGCTGCTGTGCATGGGGACCTTCTCTTCAGGCATAGGCGGGCCCCCGAGGCCTGGCTACAGAGCTTGGAAAAGGAATTACAGGCTGCTGTGAATGCAGGTCTGGACCTGTCGTCTCAGCTGGAGACCCCCACTAGGTCTGATACCGAGGAGGCCATCTGCAGGACCGAGGGGTCTGTGCCATAAAGAAGGGGAAGATGCCCTGCCCGCATCTTCCTCTCACAGGAGAAAAGGGGGCCCCAATGAGTGACACGCTCAGGATGTGGATAGATTTGATTCTGGCCAGGGTTGACTGAAAGAAAATCGATGAACAGCCCAATGAAGTACTCTTAACTTTGTGCAGACAGTTGTCTCTGGAGCAGCAATTTCAGAAAATGTCCAAGGGGAAGAAGGACATTGCTGCTCAACCCAGGCCCTCCCTGGTGCTCCAGCTCAAAGACTGCGTGCTGCAGCCAGTCGAGGGTGTAAAGCCTTTTCTGTTTAATGAGGGAACTGGCTGAGGTGCCCAGCTTGGGGGGGACACCGGACGACTGGAGGCCACATGTGGACTTAGCAATCCACCGCTCCATGTACCTGGATACGTTTCCAGGCAAGGCTTCATAGACAGTTGTGAAGACCGGTCAGTGAAAGTGAAACCTGTATCTTTGCACCGTGGCATCATCAGCTGCTTGGCTCCCCGCTTATGCACTGTGTATGTCTCTCCCGTACGTGAGTACA
Source organism: Homo sapiens (assembly GCF_000001405.40). Classification (NCBI taxonomy): domain Eukaryota; kingdom Metazoa; phylum Chordata; class Mammalia; order Primates; family Hominidae; genus Homo; species Homo sapiens. The sequence continues at coordinate 18,793,626 of NC_000005.10, forward strand.
TTTTGGGGGTGGACATTTTACATAGTTTGGCAGATGTCCCATCTATCACAGATTTGATGGACCGCTTGATGACAGAATTGGGACAGTACCACTCTGTGGTGGACTTGCATAATGCATTCTTTTCTAGAAAGCCAGGAGCAGTTTGCCTTCATAGGAGGGCAACAGTGGACTTTCACAGTGTTGCTGCAGGGCTATATGCATAGCCCCACCATATGTCCTGGTCTTGTTAATGATATTATGCTGATCCCTGATTCTCTTGCAGATTTAGAATCGGCCATGTTCCCCTTTCCTAGAATTAAAATGATGCAGCTGAGACTGCCTCTCTGGGTGCCAAATGGGCTATTCAGCAGGTACAAACCCTACGGGTAGTTGACAAGGGGCGCCCATTTGAGCTGAATGTGCATTTGACCACAGATGGATTCGGTTGGGGCCTGTGGCAGCTCACAGAGTGCTTGAGAATGACAGTAGGATTTTGGTTCCAACTATGGAAGGGAGCTGAGCTCTGATATTCCTTGATAGAGAAATAGCTAGCAGCTGTATATGCTGCCCTTCAGGCTCACGACAGGAGGGCAGGACAAGCTACAGTCATCACGCGGATCACTTCCCAATAGTGGGATGGGTGCATTCATGGATAGTGACCCTCCAGACTGAGAAAGCAGTTAGTTATTGCATATGCTGCCCTTCAGGCTCATGAGAGCATGCTAGGAAGGACTACAGTCATCATGCAGATGACTTACTCAATAACGGGGTGGATACGTTCATGGGTAATGACCCCCTAGACTGGGATGGCACAGACATCCACTTTAATGAAGTGGGGTGCCTACTTAGAGCAGTGGTAGTTAACTGCTCTAAATTGACTACTCTAAGTGACCTGAGTAGTAGCTCAGGTCAGAGTGTAACTAAAAATACAAAGATTATGCAAGAAAATAAATACAAAAGACAAGGGGCTAACAGAAAATTGCACTTATATCACAGACAAAATTCTGATGTTCTTAAACATATAAAACAAATACAGAAGAAAGAAAAAATTACAAATTTGTTAACATGATACAGCCAGTTGAATAACACAAATAATTTGTGCTTTGTGAGCTTAAATAGAGACACTTTACAGTGTCTTTGGTTAACAAAGAATAGAAGTTGGAACTTGAGCTTAATATGGAGACCAAATCATACAATTTTTTTTAGTGTGAATGAGAGAAAAAATGGGTAGAGAGAGAGAGACAGAGACAAATAGAAACAAAGACAGACATTAGAGATACTAATATTTGTAATAGAGGTGATTTTTCCAGGTAAGTATTGATAATGAGATATGCACAAATTTTGTTGAAAGGTTTTATAGTGCATGAATTACAGAAGGGTTTGGAGAAAATATTGGAATGACAGCTGTATTCATTTCCTATTGCCGCTTTATTAAATTCCTGTTGCCACAAATTACCACAAATTTAGTGGCTTAAAAAACACTCTTCTTACAGATCTGGATATCTGAAGTTTAAAATGCATTTTACTGACTAAAATCAGGGAGTCTGAGGGTTGTGTTTCACCTGGAGACCCTGGAAGAAAATCAGTTCCGCTGAATTTTCCAATTGACAGATGTTGCTCCTATTCTTTAGCTTTTAGTTCCATCCTACCATGTCTAAAGTAAAAAACATCAGAGTGAGTCTTTCTGACATCATCATCTCTTTGATTCTCTCTTCTGCCTCCTCTTCCCATTTCTAAAAACCTTTGTGATAACACTGGACTCACCCAGATAATCTACGGTAACCTTTCTTCTCAGAGTCAGCTGATTTGCAACCTCAATTTTTTGTAACCTTAATTCTCATTAGCCTGAAAGCTAACATATTCACTGGTCCAATGCTGGGAATTAGAACGTGGTTGTAATTGTTGGGGTGAGCATTAGGCTTTCTAACACAGAAGCCCAAAATAACCATAAGAAAAGATATCTAGCTTTGTCAGAAAATGTAACAGTGTTAAATAATCTCTTTTCTTCAAAAAGACAATGCCTGTGACAGTCAAATTTACCTTAATGATTTAAGGAGTGGATACTTTGTGTATGTTGCATACAAATATAAATGGGATTTAAGTATAGTTTCCCTATTATAATTTCCACCAAACTGAATATAATATTTTCCAACATTTCAAAAATTTGAATAGAAAAAAAAAAAGCAAATAGGACTGACTATAATGCCAACCTGTCCATAGCTATAACCAGATGTTTGCAGAGTGAGTGATTAACATAAAATAAAAAGAGGGAAAACCCGTGGTAGCTAGTATGATGTTAGCTGTAAGATTTTCATAGATAGCTTTCAGAAGATGCTCATTTCTATTCCTAGATTTGCAAGAGTATTTAACATGAATGGATGTCAAATTTTACCAAAAGCTTTTTCTGAATATATTTCCATGATCATATACTTTTAATTATTTCTATTGATACCGTACATTTTATTTATTGATTTTAGAATATTGAATCAGACTTGCATTCCTGGGATAAAGCCCACTTGGTATAATTTTTTTTTTTTGTATATAGTGCTGTATTCAATATTTTCATATTTTGTTGAGAATTTGTATGTCAATCATCATGAAAGATACCGGTGTGCAGTTTTTTTTTTTCTTTTTATAATATCTGTGTTAGGTTTGATACTGGGGTAATATAGGCCCCCTATAATCAGTTGGAAAATATTTTCTCATCTTTTATTTTCTAGAAAAGATTTGTGGAATTGGTATTATTTCTTCTTTAAATGTTTGATAAAATTCACAAGTGAAACCATCTGGAGTTTTTGGGTTTTTTTGTTTTTTTTTTTTCCGGAGGTTTTACCTTACAATTTTTTAATAGATATAGTCAGTTCAAGTTACCAATTTCTTCTTAAGTAGATTGTGGTAGTTTGTACCTCTTGAATAACTTTCGCATGTCATCTGAAATTTATTTATGGGCATGGGCCTGTGGTGATACTTCTCAACTAGACTTTTAATGCCTGAGCAATCAGTAGTGATAAGCCATTTTTTTCATTAAAAATTTACGCCAATGTACATACTGCTGTTGTTGGACAAAGTATTATATAAGCATCAATTAGGTCAATTTCTTGGATTATGTTGTTCAAGTTTCTTATAACTTTATTGATTGCATTTTAATTGTTTTTCGATATTGAGAAAATGTTATTGGAATCTCTGAAAATAATTATGAATGTATTTATTGCTTCTTACAGTTTTATAGGTTTTACTTTATATACTTTGCAGCTTTTATGTAAGTGCACAGTTGCTTAGGATCCTATGTCATTTTAATGAATTGTCCCCTTTAGTATTAGGAAAGGACCCCTCTTACTCCTGGCAGTAAATGTTTTGCTTGGAAATCCGCATAACAATGTGTATGTGGGCACTCCAATTTATTTTGCTTTGGATTAATGTGGTGTATTTTTAAAACTCCCTTATTTTAACTCATTTGTGTATTCATATTTAAGCAGTATTGAGATTTCATCCTGCTTAAATAAATTTGACCTGCTCAGGGCAAAAAAATGGGAGCTAGAGACAGAGGAGCTGCCATTGAAATAACTAAACAAGCTCACAAATTATGCTAATACCATCCATGGATTCTAAAAGAAGACACCAGAATCTCCTGGGTGAGAGAAAAAATGACTTTATTACTCACAGCAAAAGCAGGAGCAGAAGCATCAGCAGTATTGGGCTGTTTCCTTGAGCACCAAATCTCACAGGATAACACCGAGGGACAGAGAGGCAGAGTTTGCATTCCCAGTGGGGTGTATTAGAGGAGGGAAAACCTGGGCTTAGGGAATCTTCTAGTTTTGTATCAAGTAGTAAGCAAGCTTGTTCTTTATGTGAAGGAAGATCGGGGGTAGTACGAGAGTTGCAATGTGTGATCTCACTTTTCAGGATTGCCACTTGCATAAACAATCCTGAGAAGTGTCTCAGATTAACGAAGACCCAAAGATCTGGGCTTGGGAATACTCAGCTAGATAAGTATAAGTGACAACTGACTTCCGAAAGCAGCATCGATTAGATCTTAGATTTTCATCCAAGCTGATTATCTTGGTCTTTTGAGGTTTTTTTTTTTTTGATCGTTTAATATGCTTATTGGTAAATTTGAGTTTAATATATAGTCTTGCTATTTGTTTTCTATTTTTCTCATTTGTTCTTTGTTCTCCTTCCCCTCTTTTTCTCTATTTTTTATTTTAGGTAGTCTATTTATTATATTATGTATTTGCCTTTTTGGGTTATTAGGTGTAGTTGTTATTTTGTTAATTGCTTTAGAGCTGTGAAACTCTTTAGCTCATCACATTCTACCTTCAAGTAATATACTGATAGAGCTTCGATGACTGGAGGAACAGCAGGGTCCTTGGTCTCCCACCGATTTAGATAAAATGACATGGACACACATGGAGTGGTTTTAAGGAATGGAGAGTTTAGTAGGCAAGAAAGAAGGAAGAAGCTCCCCCATACAGAGACAGACGGAGGGAGGCTCCAAGCTGAGAAAGGAAACCCCAAGTATGGCAGAAAACAGCCAGTTATATGAGGAGGCTGGAGGAGGCAGTGTCTGATTTGCCTAGGGCTCAGGGGATTTGTTTGAGCAGTCATGTCATTCACATACCCCAAGAAAAAACTGGCCCTCCCACCCTAGTCTTTTAATATGCAAATGCCATAAGTGGGGAGGGCCATGTTGCCAGGCACATGTGGGGGCAAGGGGAAGACAGAGGGAATCGCCATGTTTGGGTGGACCCAGTTTCTAATGGCTTACCTTTGCATATCAAAGCTTGCCAGCCCAGCTCTAAGAGCCCGGGCTTTCCTGCTAGACAAGAAACATTTCTTTCCTGCTAGAAAAGAAACAAACATTTCCCAAGGACCCCTTTTCCTCTCTAGCTGCCTAAAATAATTTCTTAATAACTACTATAACAATAACACTTTATGTACACTCCAGGTGTATTAAAGAACCTTACAGCAGGATTGTTTCCTTCCAGGCCTTTTCTCTATTTTTGTTATAAATCTCACTTCTATATGTGTTATGGATACCACATTACAATATTAGTTTTACTTGGAATAGTTGATTATTTTCTGAAGAAATTTAAATAATAAGAAAAGTCTTTTAATTACCTATATAGTTACCATTTCCAGTACTTCATGAATTTAGATAGATCCACAGTTGCATCTAGTATAATTATCTTCCTACTTGGAGAATTTTCTTTATCATTTCTTGCAGTGCAACCCTAATAATGATACTATTTATAGGTTTTATTTTTCTATAAAAGCCTTTATTTTATCTCCACTTAGAAAACCAATTTTGCTGGGTACAAAAAAATTCTAGTCGGATAATTTATTTCTTTCATTACTTTAAAGAAATTGCTCACCTGTCTTCTAGTCTGAATTGTTTCTGACAAAAATCTGTTAACATGTTTATACCTTTTTTCCAGTGTGTATACTGGCTTTTAAAATTTTTTTTAGTCTGGCTGTGTTTATGCTTTTTTATGGCTGGTTTAAAGTAATTTGATTAAGATGTGCCTTAGCATAATTTTCTTAATGTTTTTTATTCATGAGATTTGTTGAAAATTTCATATTAATGAGTTTCTGTCTGTTATTAGATATGAATAAGAGTGTGGCCATTCTTTCTTCAATTATTTTTTTCATTTTTCCATTCCTTCTCATTTGGGGCTGTAAGTTGCATTAATGTAATATTTTGCCATTTGACATTTTTCCATAGCTCCCTGGGGCTCTGTAATTTTTAAACCTCTTTTTTGCCCCTATATATGTTTTATTTTGAATAATTTCTATGGCTATGTTTTCAGGTTCACAAATCTTTGCTTCAAACTTTTCTGTTTGGACATTAATCTCTTCCAGTTTATTTTTTATCCCAGATGTTGAAGGTTTTATCTCCAGAAATTTGTTTTGCATATTTTTAATAGCTTCTATGTCTCTTCTTAAACTTTTCAGTGTTTCCTCTAACTTCTTGAACACATGGGAATACAGGTGTTATAAGTACCAATTTCATCCTTGATGTCATTTCTGCAACCATTTTGATTGTTGACATTCTCCTCACTGTAGTCTACCTTGTGCTTCTTTTCACGTCTGCTATTTTTTAAGTAGATACCATATATTTTAAATTCTTTTCTCTTCACCCTAGGTATTGTTAGGGACAAACTGCCCCAAAAAGATTCTTGGTACTGCCAACACTCCCTCTCAAACTTCTCCATGCTGCCCACCCTTCCCCCAAACCTTTTTACATTTCTAAGCCCTTATCTAGGCGCCACAGGGAAGCCAACAGACTTTACTTATCAGGCCTTGCTGCTATAAAGCAAACCCCAATTACAAACCATCCAGATCACACAGGAGTAGAAGGTTGAGGAAAGCATAAACGAACTTTACCTACACCCTCCAGTACCATAAACGTCACAAGGTGATATGCGGCAGAGTTAACCAACAAACTGAGAGACAGGACTAGCTGGATTTCCTAGGCCGACTAAGGATCCTTAAGCCTAGCTGGGAAGGTGACCACATCCACCTTTAAACACGGAGCTTGCAACTTAGCTCACACCCGACCAATCAGAGAGCTCACTAAAATGCGAATTAGGCAAAAACAGGAGGTAAAGAAATAGCCAATCATCTATTGCCTGAGAGCACAGCGGGAAGGACAAGGATCGGGATATAAACCCAGGCATTCCAGCCCGCAAGGGCAATCCCCTTTGGGTCCCCTCCCCTTGTATGGGAGCTCTGTTTCCACTCTTTTTCACTCTATTAAATCTTGCAACTGCACTCATCCAGTCCGTGTTTGTTATGGCTTGAGCTGAGCTTTTGCTCGCCCTCCACCACTGCTGTTTTGCCACCCTCGCAGACCCGCTGCTGACTTCCATCCCTCCGGATCCGGCAGGGTGTCCTCTGTGCTCCTGATCCAGCCAGGTGCCCATTGCCGCTCCGAATCGGGCTAAAGGCTTGCCATTGTTCCTGCATGGCTAAGTGCCTGGGTTCATCCTAATCGAGCTGAACACTAGTCACTGGCTTCCACGGTTCTCTTCCGTGACCCATGACTTCTAATAGAGCTATAACACTCACCGCATGGCGCAAGATCCCATTCCTTTGAATCCTGAGGCCAAGAACCCCAGGTCAGAGAACACGAGGCTTGCCACCATCTTGGATGTGGCCCGCTGCCATTTTGGAAGTGGCCCACCACCATCTTGGGAGCTCTGGGAGCAAGGACCCCCCGGTAACAAAACGACCCCAGGGTCTCTTTCCCCCATATAAACCCCTCATTTTGTAAGCACAGGGCTGCTTCCTCTTTCTGTAATGGAGCAGCTGGCAGGTTGAATAAAGGCTTGCCTGAACTTGGGTGTCTGTGTCTCTGTCTCTCTCTCTCTCTCTCTCTCTCTCTCTCCCTCTCTCTCTCTCGTCCTTTCTCTTGGCTGATCTTACAGTTATTTTTGTAAATAATTTTGAGTTTAGTTCCTGGACACAATAAAGCAACTTGAAAACTGTTCCATCTTTTTGTGTTTCGCTTTTAAGCTTTTTAAAGCAAGGCTCCAGCCACATTTGGTCTAGGATTTTCTTCCCCTACTAAATAAAACAAGATTCTTCTTGTACTCTACTCAATGCCTCATGAAAGATGAAGTTTACCACCCTGATTTTTCAGAACAGGCACTGTTCAGAACTGATCCTATATAGGCTCTGTTTATTGTTTATTTTAATCCTTTGTATTGTGAAAGGAAAATAAATCTTGGGGCCTCCAAATCGCTAAGCTAAAGGGAAAAGTTAAGCTGGGAACTGCTTAGGGCCAAACTGCCTTCCATTCTCTTCCAAGTTACCCCTTTACTCACTGAGTTAAATGCATATCTGATTGCCTCCTTTGGAAAGGCTAATCAGAAACTGAAAGAATGCAACTGTTCACCTCTCACCTATCTGTGACCTGGAAGCCCCCTCCCCTCTTCTGAGTCTTCCTGCCTTTGCTTCAAGTTGTCCCGCCTTTCTAGACCAAACCAATGTACTTCTTACATGTATTGATTTATGTCTCATGTCTCCCTAAAATGTATACAACTAAACTGTGCCCCGACCACCTTGGGTACATGTCTGTCTTCAGGACTTCCTGAGGCTGTGTCACAGGTGCGTGTCCTCAACCTTGGCAAAATAAACTTTCTAAATTAACTGAGACCTGTCTCAAATTTTCAGAGTTTACAGTGTCATTGTTTACCTGGCTTTTGGTAGCCTTATTATGAGCATGTGCTGATCAGGACTGCACTGAGAAATTGAGGGTGACCTAGAGATGACTGTCTTTGCTGGTCTATCTTCTGTAGCCTGTCATAGGATCTCTAGCAGATTTGATATCCCTGTACTGCCAGCTTGGTCTGTTCAAGTTAAGGAAACTCCCAGGCTTTGCCTGAGTTTCCCTTTGATGCACTGTGACCTGTAAACTTCCTCCAGGCTGTAAGTTCAGGTAATAACAAGGCTTATCTTCTTTCTCATTTCCTAGTATCACTATCTTTCATTGCTGGATACCTATTTTTTAAAAACCATGGTTTCATATATTTTTCTGTTAATAATTTAATTTGTTGTTTCAGGTGGAACTGTAAATCCAATTTTTGATAACCAAGTGAAAATCCCTATGATTTTTTTCTTTAAATATGATGTTAGTATAAAAGCGGAGCTTTGAGAATAGTATAAAAACTGGGATTCTGCTAATTTGTATACACATATATCATTTGTTTTTCTTTCTCTTAATTTCTTCCTAAATAAATTGTTGTTCCAATATTAGTATCTGTAACTATTCTTGTCTTCATGTACATGTATTAATTTACTTGGTAAATATTTTAATAAATAAACCTTGAATCTGTGCCATTCTATTCTTTAATGAGCATTTTTGTATGATAAGCTATGTCCTGGTCATGAAAATAATTGCACATATATGGTGAAATGCACTTAAATAAGACCAGAATTATTAAAGCATGAGTCATACATTTCATAGGTTATTATATATAGGTTATGTCTAACATGTTAATGTAATACAGAAAGAAAATATTAAAAAGAAGAAAATTTGACATCTCAGCTCTGCAATAACGTGGAATTTTTATGGGAAATATGTAAATGAAATGTTTGTGTGAATTCGTGTTTTTGTGTTGCATTCTTATAGGAAAAAATAATAAATAAAAAGTTGACTATTTTTTAAATGATTCAGGAAATATTAAATAAAATTTTTAGTTTTTAAAAAAAGACTAATTTTAAAAGATAAAACTATCTTAAACATCTTATATTTTTATCTTTTTCTTTTAATAGAAATTGATTTTTATTATTATTATAGCTGCATTTCTAAATTCTGAGTAATGTTTTTTTCAGGCTGGCTATTTATTTCTTAATAAGGCAGAACATTTTCAAGGAAGTTTTTCTCACTTAGAGTAAGCCATTTTAGTTCCAGCTTTGGCTAGTATGTCTAATACTCTGGAGAAAAAAAATGTTATAAAATCAATAACAGATCTAGAGAGATTCTTTTGGCTGAGGAAAACCTAAAGGTTTTTAGAAAGAATATTGATAAGAACCTTAACTCAAAATGACATTAAGGCAAAATACCCTCTTTTCCACAAGCTAAAACTTACAAAGTTTTAAATTTAATAATTAACATTTTCTTGGTTCTATAGTAAGAAAAAATAATATTATATTTATTGTAATTTCAAAATGTTTATGATATTGTAATCATATTTACAAATGCAATACACATAGAGCATCTCTAAGGAGAGAATAATTTCCTATTGTGACTTTTCCTATGTATACAGAGTGTTATTTTCATACTTTAAAATGTAATATAGAATATATAAACTATTTTCATATAATTTGTCATGTTAAGTTATACTTAATGTAGAACTTTAAAATTTTTAAATTTTCTATCAAGACATATTAATAAACAATGTAAGAAAGAAATAAAGAAAAATAACAATAAAAAAGAAAATAATGGACAGAAGTGAGGAGTGAGAAAAAATATGAAGGAAGGATGGGAAAAAAGAAAAGAAGAAATGAACAATGGATGAAGACAAAGAGGAAGGAAAGAGGAAGGGAAGCAGGAAAGAAGCTCTAGTCATCCAAAATTTGGAATCGGCTGACTAAAAAATAATTCTTATATCATGAAATATATTTTCAAAAAGTGCGGTTATAATCAAACACTGCTATATTAATTTGATTATAGGAAGTCAAAGCCCTAATTATGAAATAGAGAAGAATATATACAGCACTTCAAGTTTAAAAAGTGTGTCACTCTTGTCTTTTATTTTTCTTGTCTTTCATTGTAATTCATTTCATTATTGTATATAATTCATTATTATATTACAATTTAAATATGTAATGATTGCTTCCATATTATCAGTTGTTGACTAGGACAAAAAAGATTTCTACATACAAACAAAATGTTTATCTTGTTTTGTTTGTAGATTATTCCTTTAGTATTCTATATTTATTTGAGTTTAGTGTTTTATAGGGCAATACTCTTTATAAAGCTTACTGTCATCAATTTCCAGTTCTCCAAAAAGTAAATGTCAGTGAATATATCAGTGTCTAGACAATAATTAGCCTTAACACGATAAAGAGAAAATGTGTGAGGCAGCCTAAAAATGATTGATTCATCTTTGGTGATTAAGAAGCTAGCTTTGAAGACACCACATTAGAAAAAAGCATAGACTTGTCAATGGAAGAAGAGCTGATCTTTTGCTCCAGAGACACTTCACTGTTTTTGCACCCACCAGCATACCAGTGCATGAGTTCATTTATATTAGTTCATTTAAATTAGGAGGTGAGCCTTCTCTGAAAAACTATAGAGCCAAATAGAGACACTAAACCAACGTCAGTAAGCAGTTAATCAAATGCACATTCAAGGTATTAATTTTCTTTTAGAATTGAAAATAAATGAGCATAGATTAAACGGGAAATAGAATTCAAACAAAGAGCAATATTAAATAAACTCCTTGTGTAAATACTTTTTTCAAGAAATTGTTTGTTTTTTTCCCAAATTATCAAAGTATCTGCATGCACTTTTCTTAGAGCTTAATCTTCTTTCAAGTGTCAATTAAAATATTACAAATTACTGAATCCAAAACAAGGGTGAAGGATTCATGTAAGTAATTTAATATTTTATCTTTATGATGTTTTAGAGTAGCACTAATACATATTTTTACATAATAATATTTATTTTTAAACCAGCCAGTTTAAGTTCAGGAGAAAGTATTAGAACAGCAAAAAGCAAAAACAAACAACAGATACACACACACACACACACACACACACACACACACACAAACACACACACACACACACACACAGAGAAGAAACAGCCTCTTAAATGAAACTGGCTGTGTTCAAATATCAGTGCTACCTATAGTCATGTTATTTCAATTTTGTTACTTATTTTTTTTTTACTGGATCCATTTTTCTAATTGGTAACATGAAAGTTGTAAGATAATTTGTGTAATTAGTATATGGAAATCAATTTTGTGGCATGCAAGTCATGGAGTGAGTTTTTAATAAATGTGAATTGTTTTGTCATCATTGTCATTATCCTTTTTATTCAGTAAATCAGAGAAGTATTTTCTAAGGCAATCTTTCTTTAAATGAGGATGAAAGTATTAATCATTTTTCTTCCAATAAAATAACGCTGGTTTTCAGACAAGTTATTGGGTCAATTTGAAATTATAGCTAAATGAAACACAGTTAAAAAAAAAAGGAAGGCAAAACTGTTATTCACTATTTAATATACATCTGAAACTGTACATAGTAATGTTAATTTTCTGAAAAGTCAAGATGTATTACTTAAGTTCTTTACATTCATTGCATGGATTTGATATTGAAGTTTGCTTCAAATTCATTCAAGTAATGGAAACATTACTTGGTTGGAAATTTTATATCATGGATCTTTCAGCTAGAATGCCTCCAGGACACTTCTCAAATATGAGTTAGTGAATCCAAAATACAACTTGTCATCAATCATGGATCGACAGCTTTCTTGGCAGTTGGCAGATTTGTCAGTAAGCTGCATATTTGAGTTACTGACTTACATTCTGTCTTCTTGGCTCTGAACTTTTATTTCTTCCCCAGGTAAAACACACCTCTTTGATTTCGTGTTTGTGTGTGTGCACACTTACTTTGTTTTGTTTTGTTCTGTGACATTAAGTAACATACTGTTCTTAATTCCCTGGGGCAGAGGTGTGGAAAAAATAAAAATCATTTCTTCCATGACTTAACAGCAATAGAAATTTGGCATTTGAAATGTCGTTTTTGAAATATATGTTCAGAACTTTGCCCATTTTAATAAAATGATCTGTCTTCTTATTGATTTGGAGAATTCTACAGTAATTCTAAATGTTAATTTTTTAATATAAATTTCACTTATTTTACCCTGGTATACAACTTCATTCTCAATCTTTGTTCATATTGCTTTTTATTTTATAAAAGTTTGCATTTAAATTCAAATTATTGTTTCATACCCATTTTATCTTTAATTTTTCATGTCCAGCTTAAAAATATAATTTTTATTCCATTTCAAAAGCATTTTCTAAATTCTCTTTTAACACATTTTCTATTTTATCTTGATTGAATATCTTTTCCTTCTTGATGTGTGGGGGTCATGAAAATGTGCCTCACAGAGCTAGGAATCCAGAGCCATGTTTGCATGAAGGCCATGTCTTTCCCCGACTGCTCCAGGCCAAAGATGGATTATAAGGGGCTTATAAAAGGAGTCCCAAGTTTGGACCCTTCTAGGACTTTTAACGGCCTTGCTAGGAAATATACATATAGTTGAGAGGCAACCCTTTCTTTGTTTATTATTATAAATAGCACTTCAGTTATTTTTGCATAGGTCCTTTTGATAAGAATTTCAGAAAATATATTTCAAATTTCATGAAAATCTTATGAGCATTTTAGTTATGACGATATTGAAATAATGGATTCATCTCACTTATCCAAAATATATTAGTTATCTTTTTCCATGTCCTGTAATAAAGTGGTACATTTTTCTCAGTATTGATCATACACATTTCTTTTTACTTGTATTCAAATATAGTAAAGATTGTTATAATGTAAATATTAGCCAATGGATATTACTAATTATAGCTGGTATTCACCAAAATACTTTCCCTAATGAAGAAAGAAATATAACTTTAGAAACATAAGCTGGAAATGAAGCAAATGTTGAACATGGTTTAGAGAAAGATAAGTAAATGTTTAAAATTGAACATGGTTTAAAGAAAGATAAGTAAATGTTTAAAATTATCTTTAAAAGTGATATCATAGTTACCAGATCAATACAAAATCAATAGCATTTTTAAAGGTTAAAGATAAAAATCGTTTCTGGTTCCTAAAAAGATTTTCTCTAGATATTCTCAAATACTACGTTACTTGAATGAATTTGTAGCAAACCTTAATATCAAACCCATGCAATGAATATATAGAACTTAGGAAGATAAGTAAGACATATTAACTTTTGAGAAAATTTACATTTTTACATCCATTGCTCATTATCCAATCTGCCGGGATGGAGGTAAGGTCTTTGGTTTTTTTGTTTTTGTTTTTGTTTTTTTTGATACAAAGTCTCACTCTGTTGCCCAGGGTGGAGTATAGTTATCTCTGCTCACTCCAACCTCCACCTCCTGGGCTCAAGCGATTCTCCTGGCTCAGCCTCCCAAGCAGCTGGGACTATAGGTGCACAACACCACGCCCGACTAATTTTTGTATTTTTAGTAGAGACAAGGTTTTGCCATGTTGTTCAGGCTGGTCTTGAATCCCTGACCTCAAGTGATCCACCTGCCTTTGCCTCCCAAAGTGCTAGGATTAGAGGCATGAGTCACTACACGCAGCTGGGGGTGAGGTCGTGAAGTGCTTCATCTCTTTGGTACATTTCAGAAGAATAACTGGGTATGTGGAGCTTACCCTTGCCTACATTTTTGTGGCGACCAAATCTATCCACATGGAGAATAAGTGTGTATTGTCTCCATCATGGCTTCTGTCTTATCTGGCTAGACCTTCCTTCTGAGGTAGAATAGGTAGTCAAGGAAGTAATGTCCTCAGGACATGGCAACCAAGGTGACTACACCGTCAACACAATAAGTCCCAGCATTCACATGGTACTCAAACTCATTTAGGCAAAGCTATCTCCAGTAGGGAATTTCCCCTGGCAAGAAGATGTGCATTTTAATTTTACCTGTCCTCAGGCTGACCCTTCGCTCATTGTAATATTAAAAACACACCCCTGGGTGGAGATTTAAGATGCGAATGAGACATGTTATGTATAAACAAGCATGTACAGCCACTGCTCATGTCGCACCCAGAGGACCACCCAGAATACTAGTAAGACCTCTTCCAACCCCATTATGAATAATCATGTAAGACTCCTGTAAAGGGAGTTTCCCCAGTAATAGTTAACACTGTCTCATCCTTACGAGCAGCCTGCTCTGAACCATCTCTGAGGGAGTAATCTTTTCTGTACCTAATGTTCAGAGTGTGCTTTCTCCTTTGCAATAAATTGCTCTATGCTGCAGCAGCTTTGCTCTGTGTCTCCTGTTTAAATTCTTTTAAACTAATGAGGCAAGATTCGAGGTTTCACAACTGTCAACACTTTTATATGGAGAAGCTTGTCCATAACTAGTAAGATATGTAATTGAGTAGTCAAGCTTTATCCTGGGATTCAGAGAGAAACCCATTTGAACTTCATACTGAGCTATGTCCTCCAACCTCAATGATGAATGCCTTCATCATTGTGTGTATTTGGATGGTAGGTAGGAAAACATTCCATCTCTTAAGAAATGATAAAGATCTTTTTGCATTTCTGTAAGTGTTTGTCATTCAATTGCAGAATATTAATGAATCTCTTGTGTAATTTTAAAAAACACAAAAATTAAATTTGCAATATAAAATATACCTTGTAGTAGCTAGAAAAAAAAGTCCGTCTCAAAATCTTTTTTGTTAGGGAAGGCTTTCAATCTGTATTCTAAGCAGGTAGAAGAGTCAGAAACAAGGGGCAGATAAAAGTGAAGGGTAAATAGTAAAATCTTGGGTCTTTAATACTTTCAGATGACCCAAACAAAAACTACTTCATACTTACTACAGTTATGGACTAATGCTATTGCACAGGACACTCCATGTAGTCTAGGAAGGTGTGCTTTAGAGTTCCCGTCTTTATAGCAGAGGAATGAGTAACAAGTGAATGTTCAGTAACCAATCTACAGGGCCTGCCACAAAGTTCTTAGGAAATCTGTAAGTTTAGGGAAAGGTAGAGTTAATGTAGGTTTTCTATAGAGGGGTTTTCACAAAGTCCTTCTTCTATCTCTGCTTCCTCTAATCTGATTTTAACATAAAATCTGATATTGTAAGGATGAAAAAAAGATAAATACATTATCTTTTATTTACGGTAATCTGATCCTTAACAGGGTAGATAACTTGATTTTAAGAAATTCAAACACACAACTTTGTTCTGCAATATGTTACAAAATACATTGTGGTAGTATTTGAGAAGGTGTAAGAGTTTAAAATCTACATTTAAATTTTAACACATGCAAATTTAGACCTATGCAAATGAGATTATTAGATTAGTGTTAGAAAATTTAAAACGTTCTGTTTAACTCTGTTAATCCTATTTTTAGAGCAATACTTGTGATTTAATATTAGCTCTGAGAACAACCTGTTTGAAGTACAAGTTTGGCATTTGGGCGTATCGAACTAAAAATTATGCATTGCAGAAAATTTTGAAGAAGGTAGCTTGATTTTCCTTTCCTGTTACCATATATTATTTTATATTCTGTTACCATATATACCATTTATATTTTATCACTTCATTTTCTCAGCTCCCTCACTACCAATGTTGCCCTACTCACTAGAAAAGAAATGATAAAACTAATTTGCAGTGGAGTAATAATTAGCAGTTAGGATGATCTTGGCAGCAAATTAAAGAAAGCTGAACTGAAACTTCCTTATAAAAGAAGGATCTACATGATTTTATGTAATAGGAAGTCCAGATACTGAGCAACCTTCAAATATTCCCTGGTTCAAACTTTTACTTGTTGTTTCTGTTGCCTTATATATTTTTGCGCCAACCTTGTGCAAAATGTATTACTTAAAGTGTTTTCAGGTTTCACATGTAGACCAAATAACATTCACAAAAAGAGGGATTCTGTGTTCCTGTTTTTTTTTTTTTTTATAGGAGAAAGGACATATTTCTTAAAACCACAGAAAACTTTTCCTTATTCTCATCAGTTACTATCAGTCATAAGCTCTTCCACATTCAACCAATGACTATAATATAAGATTGCTATGCTGGTCTCAGATCAATCAGAATATGCCCCTGGAACCTGCTAAGGGACCACCTTTTGTGAGTCATGTGTAGAGGGGTGGACAAAAATCAGCATCCTATTTGAAAGGAATGATGCAGTAAATGATCATTGGGTAGGCAACCAATTGGAATGGTGATATAACTTAGCAGAATAATTTAATTTTCTAAAAGAACAGTAATATAGTTGCATATATTAATAAAGGGTAGAATGTTGCTGTTAATAGACATTGGAGACAGATTGATTTTCTAGGGTCTTTCACATCATTCCATGAGGGAAACCCTGTATGATATCCTCAAGTACAATAAATATCTTTCATGTTATATAATGACTGCAACTTCATTTAAACACTCAAGGGAGAACAACCATATTTAAGTGGATAAAACTGATATTTTAAATAATATTTTAAGAGATGGTTATGCTTAAAAACAGAAAATTGTGATAGAGATTAACATCAATTACATGGATTATCTATATTCCATATGCTGGAATCATTACTTTTTAAAATTCCATAGTTACATTTTGTTCTGATTATGGCATATTATGAACTTCTGTGTAACAAACCTACTGTGTTAAACGTTATAAAATGGCTAAACGGTGGAAGTGTTTATTTGTTAATGTTAACTACTCAGAATGAACCAGTGTATTTTCTGTAGCAAGAACTCTAAACATTTATTTGGTGAATAAGTGAATGTACATACCATTTACCGAGAGCTTCCTATATGCCAAAAACTTGCTGTCATTTATTTAATATTAACAATAATATTGCAAGACTGATAACTACAGATAGATTATTTATGTTAAGTAATTTTCTCTGAAAACAAACACTAACTGAAAGCCCATTTTCTTCATGGAGTGTTTTCATTTGGGTTGATGATTGGTATTAAAAGAAACGAATGATGTACCTACTTGTTTATAAGTGACACCATCAACAAAAATCGTTGAAAAATAATGGTTGAAAGAACAGTTGTTTGCCATTAAACAGAAGTTTTTCTCAACGGGCACAATTGCATTTCTCTATTAGTTCACATGTAGTTGGTATAACCAATAGCCTGCTTAAGAAAAAGGCAACATAACTCCCCCCTCCCCCTTTTTTTTTTTTTTTTTGAGATGGAGTTTTGCTCTTGTTGCCCAGGCTGGAGTGCAATGGCATGATCTCAGCTCACCGCAACCTCCGCCCCTCAGGTTCAAGTAATTCTGCTGCCTCAGCTTCCCGAGTAGCTGGGATTACAGACATGCACCATCACACCCGGCTACTTTTGTATTTTTAGTAGAGACGGGATTTCTCCATGTTGAGGCTGGTCTCAAACTCCTGACCTCAGGTAATCTGCCTGCCTCAGCCTCCCAAAGTGCTGGGATTACAGGCATGAGCCACCGCGCCCGACCCATAACTCCCTTTTTATCTTTACATGCAAGAAGTCTTAACATGACTAATGATATATGAATCCAATAACTATAGCTGAGACAGTGTCTTCACTTCTTCAACCACTTGAGTATTTGAACTGGTTTAAATTGTCATGGATATGCAATGTAAGTTATTTACACTAAATTTGAAGTGACCCCAATCTCTATAATAGAAACAAGGCATCTCATGTATCTATCTTTGAATGAAAGCTATACCACTGTGTGCTATGTAATATTTTACTGTTGAAATCTAAAGCCAATTGCACTTAAAGCATCTTTTATTTTTCTTCTTCTTCTTTTTTTTTAAATTAAAGTAGCCTATGATCTATAAAAGGCAAGAAATCTCATTTGAATAGAGCAAAAGGATTAGTCATTACTCATGCATAGAAAATTTTAAGGATTCGGCTGTGCCGGTGATGGATGGATAGACTGCTGAGAAACCATTTGAGATTTCTGTGATTAGACAGGTCCCAATTCCTATTAGTGAGTGTTGCCTTGCTCTGTTGCAGAGAGGAGGCAGCTGTCTTCCTCACTTTTCCCGGCGGTGCTGCTTGCTTTAACTAAGCCTGTAACATTTTAGACAAGCAAATCAGGAAGGACTTTGTGGACAGATGGCAATGCTGCCTATGCATTCTCATTTACATGCAACCTTGGTTTGTAACTGTACTTGAGCCATATGTGGGGGGTTTTACATTCCCTTTGGATTGGTTTTAAGTGCTAGGCATACAAGGAAAATCTAACTTGGTCCATGTTTTCCTAATGTGATTTAATTCATTGGAGCTATGCAGAGTGTTTATCAATAGAAGTTTTGAAACTAAAATCTTGGCTGAGTGCAAAATGCTGATGCTAACCATGGTTAGTGAGGAGAGTACCCTAGGAGACTTCCTCATATAGGACATGAATACTTGTTCATACTTATTTATAAGATAAAATTAAAATATAAACATGCACAATTTCCTTGAGAATTTGAATTGCTCAAGTCTAATATTGACCTATTACAGTGCCTAAAAATGTTATGAAGTCATAAATTCACTAGCCAAATTGTATGTTTTTCATTGTTTAATGACACAGTGATCTAAAGACAATGAACATTAAAAATATATAACTCTTGCTTTAACCTTACATATTTTATAATAATATAGTTAATTAATGATCAAACAATTTTTATGAATTTTTTTGGTCATGATAACTACAAATTTATTTGTGCTCCATCAGAACATGTACTATCTGATAAGAACATGCAACATATTATATTTATTTTAAAATTTAAATTATATTTAATTTAAAAGGAACATTTAAATTTTAGAGGTGACCCTGAATAGAAGAAACACTTTTAAATATATCCTTTTTTACCTTATTAATCTTAAATTACAGCAGTGCTTAACTGTAGCCCAAAATCAAGTTTCTAGGTTTTTTTGTCTTACTACTATGACTCATAGTTAAGCTTATTATAGACAGAGTTTGTCTATTACTTTTCTTTAATGACAGTAGAATTTTCTCATTTTAAAAAATGAAACTATACAATATAGAAAACATTTGAAAAATATATCCGTCACATGTTCTACACATTAACATGATTTAGATAAATCTGCATAAGCAAATTATTGTCCTACATTTCTTACTAACCTGTAATCCTAAATATATCCTCAAGCTAATTCAATTAACTTCAGAAACACTTTTTAAAAAGCTGGAAAATGTTAACATTGTGGATCTGTGTATTCAGCAACAGGCTATTGTAGATGATTATCATTTTATAAATTTACACTTTTATAAATAATTCTGTTGTGAACATTCTTGTATAAATACTCATTTTTCATTGAAACAATTTCCTTAGGAATTATTTTTAGATTAAAAAATTGAAGAGTGAGATTTTTAGGCTTTTGTTATATAATGGCAAATTGCCCTCAGAAAAGTTCACAGTGATTTATTCTATCACAGTTAGTGTGTTCATAAAACACTGGCAGCTCTATCAGTATATATTTGGTTGCAAACATTTCTAATATGAAGGTGTTAGTATGATTTTTTTCATACAAGCAGTTTAATAGTGGGACTGGCATTAAGATTCTGTGGCATAGCAATAGAATCTTTTTGGATTTAGACTATTTTGCCCCCCATTCTCTAAACTATGGTGTTCAATTCATTTGTATGTTAACAGAATTCTGAGAATTTACAGAAACCTCAATTTCCCAGCTTCATCTAAAAAAAAAACATGATAAACAATCATTTCCTATAATTCTCTTTAGAGACAGCAAACTTACAAGAAAAAAATCCCAGAAGACATTCCCTTATGACTTATGGCCCAGAAATCGGTTACAATTATCAACTCAAAGTTGAGATGTAAATTTCTTCTACCTCTGTCAATGTCAGTGTCAATGAACTTTGTCAAGCTCATCCTATTGGAACTTTGCCTTAAAGTTCAGATATGATGAATATGGTTCATTCAGGTGATCTAGAAACAATAAGAAAAAGAAGTGACTTCTTACTAGTGTAAATCTTTTTAAAGAAAGAAAGCCTACTTTTTCTTGTAGAAACTTCTGGGTAGGTACCCCCGATTTCCCATTTGACAGAATTAGATTACATGTCTATTTATGAGCAAATGACTGGCAAGAGTTATGGAATTACTTTGGACCAAAGGTCTTCTCTGCAAAAGAAGGTGAATTTAAGTCATTCCCAGGAAAATGGTTAAGGGGAAAGAATTGAAGAAAGTATCAAAACCAGGGTTCAGATGAGAAGGCAGGTGAAAGACACAAATGATTGTTGAACAAAGTTTTTAAAATTTTCTTTTATTGACTGATTGTGTTAGTTCATTTTTATGTTGCTGATAAAGACATACTCAAGACTGAGCAATTTACAACAGAAAGAGGTTTAATGGACTTACAGTTCCACATGGCTGGAGAGGCCTCACAATCATGGTAGAAGGCAAGGAGGAGCAAATCACAGCTTATGTGGATGGCAGCAGGCAAAAGGAGAGCTTGTGCAGGGAAATTCCAATTTTTAAAACCGTCAGATCTTGTGAGACTCATTCAGTATCAGAAGAATAGCTCAGGAAAGACCTGCCCTCATAATTCAGTCACCTCCAACCAGGTTCATCCCATGACATGTGGGAATTGTGGGAGTTACAATTCAAGATGAGATTTGGGTGGGGACACAGCCAAACTATATCATTCCACCCCTAGCCCCTCCTAAATCTCATGTCCTCATATTTCAAACCCAATCATGCCTTCCCAACAATTCCTCAAAGTCTTAACTGATTTTAACATTAACTCAAAAGTCCATAGTCCAATGTCTCATCTGAGACCAAGCAAGTCCCTTCTGCCTATGAGCCTGTAAAAATCAAAGCAAGTTAGTTACTTCCTAGATACAATGGGGGTACAGGCATTGAGTAATTGCAGCTCCAAATGGGAGAAATTGGCCAAAACAATTTCATTGTTCAAATTACTTTGAACTCCCATTCAAAGTAATTTCCCATTCAAATTACTTTGAACTCCCATTCAAAGTAATTTCTCCAAATGGGAGAAATTGGCCAAAACAAATGGCTACAGGCTCCTATGCAAGTCCAGAATCCAGTGGGGCAGTCAAATCTTAAAGCTCCAAAATGATTTCCTTTGACTCTGTGTCTCACATCTGGATCATGCTGATGCAAGAGGTGAGCTCCCATGGTCTTGGGTGGCTCCCCTTTTGTAGCTTTGCAGGGTACAGCCTCCCTCTTGGCTACTTTCACAGGCTGGTGTTGAGTGTCTGTGGCTTTTTCAGGTGCATGGTGCAAGCTGTCAGTGGACATGCCATTCTGGGGTCTGGAGGAAAGTGGCCCTTTTCTCACAACTCCACTAGGCAATGCTCTAGTAGGGACTCTGTGTAGGGGCTCTGACCCCACATTTCCCTTCTTCATTGCCCTAGGAGAGGTGCTCCATGAGAGACCTGCCCGCATTGCAAACTTCTGCCTGGACATCCAGGTGTTTCCATACATCCTCTGAAATCTAGGAAGAGGTTCTCAAACCTCAATTCTTGACTTCTGTGCACCTGCAGGCTCAGCACCACATGGAAGCTGACAAAGCTTGGGGTTTTCACTCTCTGAAGCCATGGCCTGAGCTGTAACTTGGCCCATTTTAGTCGTGGCTGGATCAGCTGGGACTCAGGACACAAAGGCCCTAGACTGCACACAGCATACAGACCCTGGGCCTGGCCCACAAAACTGTTTTTTTCCTCCTATGCCTCCAGGCCTGTGAAGGGAGGGATTGTCATGAAGACCTCTGATATGCCCTAGAGACATTTTCCCCATTGTCTTCGGGATTAACATTCAGCTCCTTGTTACTTATGCAAATTTCTGCAGCCAGCTTGAATTTCTTTTCAGAAAATGGGATTTTCATTTCTATCGCATTGTCAGGCTGCAAATTTTCTGAACTTTTATGCTCTACTTCCCTAATAAAACCGAATGCCTTTAGTAGCACCTAAATCAATCCTTTAATGATTTGCTGCTTAAAAATTTCTTCCACCAGATACCCTAAATCATCTCTCTCAAGTTCAAAGTTCCACAGATCTCTAGGGCAGGGGTAAAATGCTTCCAGTTTCTTTGCTAAAACATAACAAGAGTCACCTTTGCTCCAGTTCCCAACAAGTTTCTCATCTCCATCTGGACGACTTCAGCCTAGATCTTATTGTTTATATCACTATCAGCATTTGTGTCAAAGCCATTCAACAAGTCTCTAGGAAGTTCCAAGCTTTTCCACATTTTCCTGTCTTCTTCTGAGCCCTCCAAACTGTTCCAACCTCTGCCTGTTACTCAGTTCCAAAGATGCTTCCACATTTTCAGGTATCTTTACAGCAACACCCCACTCTACTGGTACCAATTTACTGTATTAATCCATTTTTATGCTGCTGATAAAAACATACTCGAGGCTGGGTGATTTACAAAAGAAAGAGATTTAATGGACTGGTAGTTTCACATGGCTGGGGAGGCCTCACAATCATGGTGGAAGGCAAGAAGGAGCAAGTCACATCTTATGCAGACATCAGCAGGCAAAAAAAGAGCTTGTGCAAGGAAAGTCCCATTTTAAAACCATCAGATCTTGGGAGACTCATTCAGTATTATAAGAACAGTGCAGGAAAGACCCACCCCCATTATTCAATCACCTCCAACGGAGTTCCTCCCAAGACATGTGGGAATTGTGGAAGTTACAATTCAAGAAGAACTGTGGGTAAGAACACAGCCAAACCATATAACTGATTGAACGGGCTAGATTCTCTAGTACAAGTTTCAGTAGGAGTAGATATCCTTGCATATTTCCTGATCCTAGGGAGAAATAAATCAGTCTTATAATACCATTAAATATGTTGTGTGCTATAGAATTTTCAAATATTCTCTTTACCATTTTGAGGATATATATTTGACTCCTGGTTTGCTGAGTTTTGGATTTTTTTTTAATTAGAAAAGATAACATAAGACTTTAGTCAAATATTCTTTCTCAATCTGTAGAGATGATCAAAGATAATCAAGTATTTTTGTTTTACTTTTTTTTTAGTGTTTTAATATAGTGAGTTACACTGGTTTTGAAAAGTTATTCCAAATTTGTAATCCTGGGACAAACCCCACTTTATCAGGTGTGTTATTCTTTTTTGTTGTCAAATTCTACTTGCTAAAGGTTTATTTAGACTGTTTCCATTTATGTTCATAAAGCTTATTTTCTTCTTTCTCATAGCACCTTCCTGTGGTGTTGGTATCAGGAGTACCATAACCTCATAGAATGTGTTGAAAACTAGTTTTCTTTTTGAGCAAAAAAATAATTAAATATACTATGTCTCAAAATATGCAGTATACACTATCATGAAAGCCAGACAAGAGTAAATAAATTATTACATATAGAAAATTAGGTAAGACACTGTTCAATAATGAGGCAAAATAAGATGTGAACATCACCTAAGCTATCAAATACAGAGAAATGTGGAGTTTCAACCAATAAATGTGAGGTTGAATGTATAAAACGTTATTTCAAATATGTCTTGGTTTGTATCTAAATTTATATCCTATAAAATCATGCAGAAAATGAGGAGTCATTATATAATTTTAAGTAGGAAAAATGTGAATCGATATTAATACTACAAACTAATAATTTACTCAATGCCAGCCAATGTTTCCAGTGTTTTAAGTTTTCGGAAAATAATTATGAGATAATTACAAAGAAAACAATTCTTCACTTTTCGAGAAAGAAAACCAAGGCAATGAGAAACTAAATAACTGGCCCACCCGAGGTCATATAGTTAAGAAATAACAAGTTGTAGACCTTAGCATGTTTTTAAGTAAAACATATTATTTTTCAAGTCTAATATTTGCTCTCTCATAGATACATTAATGTATAAATAAAATCATAAAGAAAATTATAATAGCGAACTTTCTCTATATTTCAGAGATATTGGTTTGGCATTGCTTTCAGCCAGGTATTTCAACATTAGCCTCAAGAGTGGAGTTGGGTTCAGGTTGACTTCAATGTTTCAAAAATATATGAAAACAGAACCTGTGTTAGTGGATTTCCTATTCTCGACCTCTAGTTGAACACTATCAAAATTGACAATTAAAAAAATAATGAAATGAGAGAAAATGTTTATAGCACTTAAGAGGATAAATTAATTTCTTTAATGTCTAGATTTTATATTAAGTAAAGAGTTTGCAGGAAAAGTAAATGGCAGTTCATGATTTCAATTATAATCAGTCAGATTTTTTCCATATTTGAGCAAAAATTGTAATTCACTTATCCAATGCTTTCAGTGTAGGTGAGCTGAGTCATCTAACTTATATCGTCTCTTATGAATATTGATTGAGATGAAAAATAAAGAAATGATTTATCTTAAAACAGTTCTATGTTGATAATATAAACAATACTGACAGGTTTATTTAAAATATGTTTGGATAAGCTACATTATACATGATTCGTATCTTATGCATCACTTATATATGATATTTGATTTGGTTTATACACAAAGGAACAAATGTTTCTATATAAGAAAATTATTTTGCTTATTACAGAATTCAAAACTAAAATGTTTCTTCCACGATGGCCATTTAACGATTTAAATTTAGGAAACATCTGGCATGTTCGATGAGTATTTATTTTGTATAATTGTGTTCCATATCTTAGTGCATTCCCTTTAGCAGTTTCTTTCAGCAAGCAACTCATGTGAACTTGTTTCTCAGTAAACGTTTTTTATTTTAGCAAAGTTTTAGACCTACAGATTTAAAGAAAAATTGCAAAGATGGTACAAAGGTGAACTCTTGAACCGAATCTTTTATTTTTAAGCATGCAAAACGGTGTGTTTTTTTAAACCCTGAAGACATAAACGTACCACTGAGAACCCAAAGAAAATTGGACTAACTGTTTTGTTTTGTGATTTGATGTCTGAAAAATAAAATCCTTTAGTTTCCTTTAATTTTTCCTCAGAGAATATAGACTGTGTTGCGATGTCAAACTCATTTTAAGTTTCGATGCCCCATGGGCAAATCGTTTGCTCTAATTACAACAAAATGAAGACAAATCTCTTACATATAAATCTTTGATGGCGGGAAATCTAGCTTAATGTTTTTAAAGCCTTCCCAGAAGACAAAATGCCTCTCAATCTTGTAACTCTACTTTCAGAGCTACCTAAAGTAATTATTAAAGCATATTCAATATACTGCAATTGATTTATATTTGTGTTTTATTTAATAATTGGGATCCCTGGGACCATTTGCTGCAAATATCTTACATTTAAAAAAACTGTCTAATGATATCATGCAGGAAAATATTATACCTAAAAATATAAACTCCATTAGCAAAAATTGTTCAGCAAAACTCTATTAATTCAATACATTGTATGGTTAATTTTCGTAGCCAATTTTTTTTTTCTGCTTCTTTCTAATGATGTGATGTTCTTCAATGTCTTCTGAAAACTT
Source organism: Homo sapiens (assembly GCF_000001405.40). Classification (NCBI taxonomy): domain Eukaryota; kingdom Metazoa; phylum Chordata; class Mammalia; order Primates; family Hominidae; genus Homo; species Homo sapiens. The sequence continues at coordinate 18,819,228 of NC_000005.10, forward strand.
GAGCATAGGAAGTTGGAAGGGTATAAAGTAAAACAAAGTGTAAGGAGAGAATTTAGAATGCTAATTTTTGAAGGGGAAATATAAATTTCACAACTCTTAGATTACCTGTATTTAAGGATTTAAGTTGATTTTCACCAGCGTGTTAGTCTGTTTGTGTTGTTGTAAAAGAAATACCTAAGACTGGGTCATTTATAATGAAAATAGATTTATTTGGACCTTGGTTCTGCAGATTGTACACAATGCATAGTGCCAGCATCTGCTTGTGGTGAGGGCCTCAGGAAGATTACAATCATGGTAGAACTGGAAGAGGAGCCAGCACTTCATAGGGCAAGAGAGGGAGCAAGAGAGAGAGGGAAGGTGCCACACTCTTAAGCAACTAGATCTCCTGTAAACTCTTTACCACTCATTACCCAGAGGAGGGAACCAAGCCATTCATGAGGGATTTGCCCCCATGACCTAATACCTCCCTCTAGGCCCCACATCCAACATTACCGGATCACATTTTAATATGAAATTTGGAGGGGATAAAACATCCAAACCATATCAACTGTTCACTGCTAACTACTAAATCAAAGAATTGTTTCCAGACAATGTATTATTTGTTTCTTCATTCAAAAGAAAAATACTTGATTGAACCTTATGAGGAGAAAATGTTATCTCTTGCAGTTTTTAATTAAATAAGATAATTTAATTTTTATAAATTAAGGCCATCAAGAAGGACTCTACACTCTAAAAAGATTGCAGACGTTTTCTATAAACATATTTTAATATATCTATATTGTTGTTATCAAAGTAGATTTACACCACTGCCATCTGGGAGTAATTCCCTTATTCAGTACAGAAGCATTTCTCATCCTTCTCCTAAATATTTTCTTCTAGCTCAGAGTGCCCTTGGCCAAGAACAAGAGATTATTTAAAACGACGACAACAACAACAAAATTCTGCTATTCCCATATGGGTTATCTTTCTTTTCTAGTCTTCTTTTTACTTGAGTTAAAATGCTTCCTTTGAATTTAGACTGACAAAGATATTGAAGGGCATCTAATGTCATTTAGAGCACTGCTCCTGTGCCTGTGTTCACCAGCTCCTCAATAGTGGAGGTGATTGCAGATATTGGAGGAAAGAAATAAACTAGGGTAGCTCATATCACCCATTCCATGTGTTTTTCTCTTCAGGATGTCCCAGCCTGCAGTGAGAATGAATTCTGTTCTGCCTCTGCTATGCTGTAAATTTAGCAATAAAGTTTCTGCTCCATGTATGACTGACTAGGTAAGGCTGCCCTGTACTGGAGTGTAGTGTAGGAAAATCCCTGCTGCTAAGCACCACGCCAACAACACTATGAGCTACAAAGCTCACATTTTTATGTCATTGTGCTTTACTTCTATGTCTATCTTGAATTGTTCATTATTCAGAGAAAACAGGAAGCTAAGTTGTTAACATTCTTCATAGCAACAAATTTTTAGAACTAATTCTATATTGAGGAATGTCTTATGTTTTAACCAAAACCTTTTGATAAATTACAAAGTTGCTGAATATATCTATATCTATATGTTTTACTATATCTATATCTATCACATAGATTTATATGATTTATTAAGAGTTATTATCTGAAATATACACTTGATTCCTTTTACAATTTTCATAATATAACCAGAAAATCACCCTTGAGATCCTTGAGTGTGATTATATAAACATGCCTTGATTTGGTGTCTCCAGCATAATTATCACAGTTAAAATATTGGTATCAAAAATGGAGCAAAGGTAATAAAACTTGTAAAGTAGCAGACCTTACAAAATGTTAAAAACAATTTTATTTATATAGTGCATCCTCACATACCTAATTATATATATTAAACCTAATGTTTAACATTATTAGCAAGTCAGAGAATTTAGAAAAATCAGACATAGTTTTAGATAAAATTAATATTAATACTAACCATTAATATTAATCCTTGTTTAATAAAATGCCTCTATATGACGATAACTGCCCTCAAATTATTTTCAGCTCACAAATTTTTAAAGAAAAAAATGCATATCTGTATGTAGGCAAAAATCTCTTGTAATTTTTTAATGGATTCAGGCTTTTAAAAATTATTATTTTAAATAAGTTTTAGCAGGATATACAGAAAGAATATACTACATTACTACATCAGAGTAATCCCAAATTTAAGTTTACCATGCACCATACATATATTCAAACATTCAGATGTCTTTTTATTGAATTTTGGTTGTGCGAATTGAAATAAGAAAATTATTTGGTAACTGACTTTTAGTATAAGAGTTAGTTGAACTTATGTAAACTCACTTCTACCTTAAAAATGTGTAAATATTGTGTAAGTAAACAAAAATTTAAATATCTATTATCTAAAAAACCAGAAGAAGTAATTCAAGATTATGAATAAAATTTAAAAAGCATCATTTTAATTTTAATGATACTAATGTTATAAAATGAGTAGCACTTTTGACCTAGGTTTAAACATTGACTTTCATACATTGAGTTATTTGGGAAATACAATTTAATCTATTTAGGTTTCTCTGCTCTCTCAAATGTGAGGTTTGAACTCCTTAAAATTTTCTGTTGCTAACATTTCCTTTGAAAAAGCACATTTGATTTATAACCTAAACAAATATTTGGGAAAATAAATTTGAGTAGGTAAGTGTATCAAATTTATTTCCTCTTAAAAACCAGTTTGGGGTTTTATACAGTTCCAACTAATTTTACATTTTATAGACTGCAGAGCAACTATTTTCCCTGTAGGTCTTTTCTTTGAAATTATATTGAGTAATCTATTTATGTGATCAATGAATCTACTATAATTTTCTACAAAATATCTTGCTCCTAATAGGGTCATTACAATCATTTTAAGTTACATGGATAACAGCATTTTTGAATGAAAGCATTGTTTTTTGAGTGAATGAGGAAAATAAAGGCATAACTAAAATAAAGTATAAGTGAAGACCTTCTGTGCCTTCTCAAGATAGAGTTTTATGTACATCATTTCAGCAGTTTAAATTAGGTCCTAGAACTTCAATTCATTTTGCAGACTTTGAATAACATTGTTCATATATTGGAAATTTTCATATCTTAAAAGTATTTGGAAATACAATTATTTAAATATCCTATCTAGATGTAAATGACTCACAATCTCATATAATTGTATGTCTAATAAATTTTTGGAATAAATGAATTCCCACCATAAATGAGAGTTAGTATACTTCAGACTGAAAGAGAATACTATCTAAATATAAATGACCCAGATCTTTGTGTAGTAACTTCATAGATTATACCCTGAAATTAAGTGTGACAATTCAATTCCATTCTATTATTCCTGGATCGTTGTGGAGACAGTAGAAACAAGTGCTAATGTCGGTCACTGCTTAGGAGCCTCCATAATTCTTTAGTCACAAAATGTGTTCATCTCCAGAGAGCAGAAAATAGGGCACTAAAGATAGATCATCACACTCACAGGAGAAACAAATTGCCACTGATGGGACACAGTCAGATGGAGAAATGAAAGCCTCTTATTATAAAAAGTTTTAGTTTTGAGCCAAAGTGAACAATATATTAAGAGAACACCTCTTCAAGGATAAAAGTGCAGTTGTCTTTGTAATTCAGGCTATACCATATTTCTTTTTACCAAAGTGGATCATGAATAAGCAAAATGAATGTCTATTTACAAAAAGTGGTTGTTTTGTAATAATTTATTTTCTGATACTCATCTAATAATTACAATCCTAACCATTTAAAAGCCACATAATATTTTAGATAACTTAATCTCCAATAATATATTTTTACATTTTTGGTGTTTGTTGAAGAGAAGATGACTGGACTGTATGTATTTATCGTATTATAAGATTTTGTTTTTGTTAAACAAGAGCTCAAAATTTATGATTAACTTTTTTTTTTCTTTTTTTTGTTTTTGTTTTTGTTTTTGAGACAGAGTCTCACTCTGTCACCCAGGCTGGAGTGCAGTGGCGGGATCTTGGCTCACTGCAAGCTCTACCTCCCAGGTTCACACCATTCTCCTGCCTCAGCCTCCCAAGTAGCTGGGACTACAGGCACCTGCCACCACACCTGGCTAATTTTTTGTATTTTTAGTAGAGACGGGGTTTCACTGTGTTAGCCAGGATGGTCTTGATCTCCTGACCTAGTGATCTGCCCACCTCGGCCTCCCAAAGTGCTGGGATTACAGGCATGAGCCACCGCGCCTGGCCAGGATTAACTCTTTAACACTTAGATGTCATAGATCTTCTTGACATACATCCACTATAAAGATAATCTTTGCTGTTCCCAAAAACTGAATGAATACAGAGCCATATCATGTTTCCCTGCATGGAACGTCAATACCAGTATTTAACGTGCACTAAGCATCTCTTATGTGCAAAGCACTTTACATAGAGTAACCCATTTCTCTCTTGATTGATGTGCCTTCTATTTATATTCCTACCTTACACATTAAAACATTAAATTTCTAAGTTCCTAATATTTTAAAACCCTAAAACTTAACAATAAAAAAGCCTCACCCTTTGTAAAATGTCCAAAAAAAAAAAAAAAGACAAAAAAACTTAAACACTTAAGCAAAGAAGAGATATGGTTAGCAGTTAACAACTAAGCACATAGGGCCAGCTCAGTGGCTCATGCCTGTAATCACAGCACTTTGGCAGGCTGAGGTGCAAGGATAACTTGAACCCGGGAGTTAGAGACCAGCCTGGGCAATATGGCAAAACCCCATCTCTACAAAAAGTAAAAACTTTATCTGGGCATGGCGGCATGTACCTGTAGTCCCAGCTCCTTGGGAGGCTGAGGTAGGAGGACCACTTAAGACAGGGAGGTGGAGGCTGCAGTGAATGGAAATCAGGCAACTGCACTTCAGCCTGGGCAACAGAGTAAGACCCTGTCTCATAAAGTAAAATAAAAACAACTAAGCATATAAAAAGTTGTTCAACATCATTAGTGATCAGGAGAAATGCAAATTAAAATTACAGTATCATACCACTACACATTTATTCAAATAGCTAAAGAAAAATGACAACAGCCAATTATGAGAATACCAGAAATTTTCATTCATTGCTGTGGGAATGCAAAACTGGTGCAGCTACTTTGGAAAATAGAGTACATGTTGATGTTAAATGTATACTTACCATTTGACTCAGTAGCTCTTTTTCTTGGTACTTACTAAAGTCAATGAAAAACTTATGTTTACACTTAGTTCTGTATATGTTTATAGCTATCATTATCACTTTAAACTGTAAACTCAAGATTTCTTTTTACAGATGAATGTACAGAATGTAAAACACTGATTCAATAAAATTTTACTCCTAAATAGAGGGAAAAATATTTAATCACAAAACAATATGGATGTATTTTATATGACTTTTCACTGGTAAACGTCAGATCCTGGGCTCCATATTGTATGATTGTAAAGAAGTTATGCATTTATATAACATTCTGCAAAAGATACACCTATAGGGATGAGAACATATCAGTGCTGGATATGTGCTGAGAGAGGGGAGTGGGTGGCTACAAAGGAGGCCCCCTAATACAATTTCCAGATACTTTTTGGCAGCACTGGGGCTACAAATAAAGGAGTAGTTGTGATAGAAATTGTATGGCCCGTTAAAACAAAAACCTGTATGTACTATCTGGTTGTATTAGTCCATTTTCATACTGCCATAAAGAACTGCCTGAGACTGGGTAATTTATAAAAAACAGAGGTTTAATTGACTCAGAGTTCAGCATGGCTGCGGAGGACTCAGGAAACTTACAATCATGGTGGAAGGTGAATGGGAAGCAAGGCACCTTCTTCACAAGGTGGCAGGAAACCAAAGTGCTGAGCCAAGGGGGAAGTGTGCCTCATAAAACCATCAGATCTCCTGAGAACTCACTCCCTATCAAGAGAACACTATGGGAGAAACCGCCCCCATGATTCAATTACCTCCATCTTGTTTCTCTGTTCACACGTGGGGATTAGGGGGAATTATGGAGATGACAATTCAAAATGAGATGTGGGTGAAGACACAAAGCCTAACCATATCACTGGTCCATTAAAAAAATGCTTAGAGCATGCAAGACCAATACAATAAATTTTATGAAGTATACCTATCCTACTTTTATTTTTATTTTTATTTATTTATTTACTTTTTTCCTCTGGAGACAGAGTTTTGCTCTGTCGCCCAGGCTGGAGTGCAGTAGCACCATCTCGGCTCACTGCAGCCTCCACCTCCTGGGTTCAAGCAATTCCTGTGCCTCAGCCTCCCAGGAAGCTGGGATCACAAGGATGCAGTACCATACCTGGCTAATTTTTGTATTTTTAGTCGTACGGGGTTTTGCCATGTAGGCCAGGCTGCCTCGAACCCCTGGCCTCAAGTAATCCACCCACACTGGCCTCCCAAGGTACTGGGATTACAGGTGTGAGCTACCACACTTGGCCTATTGCTTTATTTTTTAACTTTTATTTTAGGTTCAGAGTACATGTGCAGGTTTGTTACATAGGTAAGTGGCGTGTCACAGGGGTTTGGTGTACATATGATTTCACCACACAGGTAATAAGTATGATTCCTGAGAGGATTCAACCCAGCAATCCCTTTATTGAGTATATACCCAAAGGAATATAAATCATTCTATCATAAAGACATATGCATACATATGTTCATCGCAGCACTATTCACAGTAGCAAAATAGCAAAGATGTGGAATCAACCCATCCATTTTCTACTGTCTTCCAAGCTACACCAGTCAGCTCCTCAAACATTCCTCTCTTAGTAAACAAAACACATATACATAAGCTGTCTTTGGTTCTCCCTCTCTCTCTCTTTTTCTTTCTGCCCTTACTTTCTCCATCTTCTTACCTATTTATCTATTTTTCTGTATCTGTCAATCAATTGTTCGATCTATCATCTGTCATCCTATTTAGATGTAAGACTTTAGCAGATATTTTAAAATATTTTCCATGCTTGTTCTGTTATTCTGTTGATTCACATATAAAAATCGTTTCTATTAAAAATTAGTAGCAAATCAAACTAAGCAACTATTCTCTATTGCTTTTTGAAAAATATCTTCTTTCAGAAAAACCCATTTTAAAATATATTTAAAAACTATGCATTTATAAATCTATCTTTGATTTAAGGCAAACATTATTTTTACAACTATTTGAAGGGCTGAAAACATTTTTTTAACTGATATTTAGGATGCCAAGGGCACAAGTTTTGGAATCACTAAATTCCAGATTGGGATGTCAACTCTGTCACTGAAAAGTTATGACCCTCAAACAATTACTTAACCTGTATTAGCTTTTGTTGCATTTGCTCAAATATAGAAACAATGATGTGGGCTTATTACACAGATTATGCATACACTGAATAGCATCAAATGATATAGTGTAAATAAAACATTGAGTTCAGTCCTTGGCTCACTATCAGCATCATAGTTGGAGGAAAATATAACACATACTGATTTAACTGCAGCAACTCTGAATGCCTTGCTGTATTCTGCAGGTACAGAGGAGTGCTTGACGCTCTGTGATGAAGAGCAAGCCTACACATCTACTGATCCTACATCATAATTTTACCCTGCCACAGTGCCTGCAAAGTTCATTTTTTCAATATATCTTTAATGAATGAATGTCAAATTTGGTACTTGAATTCTTGACACTTTATACTAATTTAATACCCAATCAATTATAGTGAAGACACAAATTGTACTCCTCAAATTTTAGAAAAATAAATTTATTTAGACTTATTTTACAATTTTATGTGAAATTAAGTTATACTTGGGGATTTGTGATGTATTATAACATTATGAGCTGAGGTCTGTGCAATACAGCATTGGGTAAAGCTTTTTTAATAGTCCACAGGAGAAAACATTTGAAAACTCAGAATTTATAAGATGGATAGAATAAAGTTTCAGAACTCTTCCATTTTAGGGGGACATTGACTTTTCATAGCACAACTTTGACAGTTCACTGGGAAACGAACTGAAAAATGTTGTTTATATATTGCTTTATTATAACATTTTGTAAAGTATATTATGGACTAGTGACATGACTTTTATGGATTGTATTTTTATAATATTCCAGTGTATTGTGCCTACCATTTCCACCATTCTGTGGACATTTTAAAGGGTGATAAATTAAAACATTGCTAGGAAATTAATTTCTTAACGATTGATTTAAGAGTAAACAAAGAGAAAGAAGGTAATTAATATGTATCTGAGTACAGGAGGAAAAGTTTCCATGTCTTAGGGTTCTCAGTTACAAACATAAGACACCGCTATTATAACGTGTGCACACCCCCAAAAAGGAATGTGTTAAAGGGTTTTGGGGTGGTTTACATAGTCTCCAAGAGATTCATAGAATCAGTCTTATGGGGAGCAGACAGTGTGAGGTGGACAAACAACCAGAAATGAAATATAATCTACAGCACAGAACTACTTTAGTGAAGAATACTTCTCTCTGCTAATGACCAGTGGCAAAAATATGGCTCAGGAAATGCTCAAAAACAGGAACAAAATCATGAAATAATATTGGATGCTTCTTAAGCAATAAAGAAAGAAATAGCAAGGTCTTGAATTATGAAAAATTGATGTGAATTTCTATATCTAAAATTAGCTGTCATTATGAGTCTGGTAATCAAATACATAATTTAAACTATTTAAAATTCTAATGGAGGCCTTTGACCTGTACCTAATTGACAGCTGCTGTCAGATTTTGGTAGTGTTTTTAAAAGTGTAGTTCATTAGCTACATTTAAACTTTAGAAGATTTGAACTAAGAATCCTGATTTCTGGCTTCAGCGCCCCTCTCAACACCCAACACAGACAAGGCTGCCACAAATTCCCCCTAGTTCACTTTTTTAATTGAAAATTATTTGTGTAGCTCTTATACAGTTTGAGAAATCTGACTTAATAAAACTGAAATCCTGGATAAATTAGATCCAAAGCATTACTTTTTCTGGCATGAGATGAGGAACTTGTTGGAAACTGAAGCATAGGTGACCCTTGTTATATTTTAGCAAAGAGACTGATGGCGTTTTGCCCCTGCCCTAGAGATTTGTGGAACTTTGAACTTGAGAGAGATGATTTGGGGGGGTATCTAGCAGAAGAAATTTCTAAGCAGCATTGCATTCAAGAGGTAACTCAGGTGCTGTTAAAGGCCTTCAGTGCTATAATGGAAGGAGAGCATAAAAGTGTGGAAAATCTGCAGCTTGACAATGCGATAAAAAAGAAAATCCCATTTGCTGAGGAGAAATTCAAGCCAGCTGCAGGAATTTGCATAAGTAACAAGGAGCTGAATGTTAATCCCCAAGACAATGGGAAAATGTTTCCAGGGCATGTCTGAGGTCTTCTTGGCAGCCCCACCCATCACAGACCTGGAGACCTAGGAGAAAAAAGTGGTTTTCTGGGCCAGGCTCCCCATGCTCTGTGCAGCCTAGATACTTGGTGCTCTGTGTCCCAGACACTCCAGCTATGGCTAAAAGGGGCCAATGTAGAGCTCAGGCTGTGACTTCAGCAGGTACAAGCCCCAAGCCATGGCAGCTTCCACGTGGTATTGAACCTGTGAGTGCACAGAAGTCAAGAATTGGGTTTAGAAACCTCTGTCTCGATTTCAGAAGATGTATGGAAGCACCTGGATGCCCAGGCAGCAGTTCACTGCAGGGATGGGGTCCTCTTGGAGAACTTCTGCTAGGGCAGTGCAGAAGGGCAATGTGGGGTCAGAGCCCACACACAGAGTCCCTACTGGGGCACTGCCTAGTGGAGTTGTGAGAAGAGGGCCACCGTCCCGCTGACCCCAGAATGGTAGATTCACTGACAGTTTGCACTGTGTGCCTGGAAAAGACACACTCAATGCCAGCCTGTGAAAGCAGCCAGGAGGGAGGCTGCACAGTGCAAAGCCACAGGGGCAAAGCTGCCCAAGACCATGGGAAACCACTTCTTGCATCAGTGTGTCCCATGTGTGAGACATAGAGTCAAAGGATGTCATTGTGGAGCTTTAAGATTTGACTGCCCTGCTGGCTTTTGGACTTGCATGGGCCCTGTAGCCCCTTTATTTTGGCCAGTTTCTCCCATTTGGAATGGCTATATTTACCTAATACCTGTACCTCCATTATATCTAGGAAGTTACTAACTTGCTTTTGATTTTACAGGCTCACAGGCAGAAGGCATTTGCCTTGTCTTAGGTGGGACTTTTTGGACTTTTGGGTTAATGCTGAAGTAAGTTAAGACTCGGAGGACTGTTGGGAAGGCATAACTGGTTTTGAAATGTGAAGACATGAGATTTGGAAGGGGCCAGGGATGGAATGACATGATTTGTCTGTGTCCCCACCCAAATCTCATCTTTAATTGTAACTCCCACAATTCCCATGTGTTGTGGAGGGGACCCAGTGGGATATAGTTGAATCACGGGGATGAGTCTTTCTTGTCCTGTTCTCCTGCTAGTAAATAAGTCTCAGGAGATCTAATGATTTTATAAAGAGGAGTTCTCCCGCACAAGTTCTCTCTCTCTCTTTGCCTGCTGCCATCCATGTAAGACATGATTTGCTCCTCTTTGCTTTCTGCCGTGATTGTGAGGCTTCCTCAGCCATGTGGAACTGTAAGTCCATTAAATGTCTTTTTCTTCCCAGTCTCAGTTATGTCTTTATCAGGAGCATGAAAATGGACTAATACAATGAGTTACTTTCTATTTTCTCCTGAAGCATGCCCTACAATCATCAACATTTACCATTTTATCCATGAATTTTTAGTTGTATGTATATTGCCTGAAAGTATAAATTTTATAATGATGCCTTTGTTCTTGTCTAAATAAAGGCATATATCTGGATATATAACTTAGAGACTGTTTTTGTTGAATGTGAACATATAACAGTTTATCTATCTGACTTATATTCAGCAACATGCTTTGTTACCACCTGCCATATATATATACACATATATATAAATGGAAATATATGTGTATATATAAAATAAATATAAATAAATATATATAAATATATATAAATATACACAAATATATATAAATATAAACAAATATATAAATATATATAAATATATACAAATATATATATATAAATATATATATATTTCCATTTAACTATCTTTTAACACCAAAGTTTGTAAGCAAGCACATGCTACTTACTTTTCCATAAGGCTTGGCTTTACTGTAGACAATTGTAGACAAATTTATATTTAACCTAAATAACATTGTTGTATATTTTAGTCAAAATTTTTATGTGAATGGATCATTTAAAAATTACCATTTTGGCTACAGTCTACTAAGCTTTTTGGCTTTTTATCCAAATAGGATTAGGGATGGCAATAAAAAAATTGCAACCAAACTGGATGCAAATGCGTATACTATGGAAAACTATACAAAAATAAGGACCTGAGCCTACTGAAACTTACTCAGTCCTGAGCTTGAGTGTTGAGTGATGTATGTGTGGGTTACAGTATCTATGAACTATGGATTGCTAAAAGTATATGATAATTTAGCGTGTTCTCTGGATACCATAGCATACATGTATACAATGATGGTTGGATAATTATAAAATATGTAGTTTTTCAATAAAATTATAAAATGAGTTATAAACTATACCATAAAATGGAAATATATGTGTGTACCTGTTTAATTCCCAATAGTTCTGAGACACTCCTGTATTTTCTCTCTGCAATTTAAAATAAGGCAAGAGTGACAGAACCATTCTTAAATATGTCTCAAATAATAGTAAATCTAATTATACAGGTGAACTGATCTTATTTGATTTTTCTTAGTTTTCAACATCCTGTCTTGACAGACATTGTGACAATGCTCAAATTATCTAATATAATTTTAATTATATAAAAATATGTGTGACTATATATAGAAAATGTCTATAAAAATGTGTACCACCAGATTAATGATAGTTTAATGCAGGTCATGATTTATTATCCTATTGCGTATCCTTAACCTTTCTTTTGTTTTATTGGTTTGAGACTCTTGGTTTATGTGGGTTAAAATTATATTAACAACTTTAAAGTAAGAAAAATTGAAAAATTATAATTATTTTAGTATTTTCTAAACAGTCTTCTAAATTTCTAATTTCTAATTGAGTATGGACAATACCTACACTCCAGCCATTTCTGGAAATAAAATTGCCACATGATTAAATTGTGACAAGGTTTAATGATAAATACTAAAAAAATTATTTGTTTTGTCTCATTTTCTAGACTAATCTAAATTTCAAAGCAGCACCCAGTAGAATTAGAATTATTTCCAATATGTCAGCCATGCATTGGGAAAGCACTAACACTTGGCAGTTCCAGATTATTTTAATAATTTAACTGGGCAGATGGAGGTCATGCAAGTTAGACAGTCACGATGTGCTGTATATAATTGATATCTCCAAACAAGTAGGCATTAACATATAATTTACTAGCCCGCATAAAACCAATCCCTTAGCTAATAAAATCCCATTGTTTATCTTCTGCTTTCATTGTCACTTGAAGACATTATATGAGATGTGAAGACATTATATGAAGTACAAATGATATAGAGCATTAGTGTGTTTCCCTTCAGAAATATCTAATTTATAAAGACGCTCAATTATTCACTATAGGAAAATATCTTTATAAAATGACTTTGGCACCCCAAGAATATTATATGTCACAAAACAGAACTACTTTTAAGATAAGTGAGTGTTGAATACTATCTACTGTCTTGTGCAAATATGTCTTTCTATAAGGTATTCTTTTATAAAAACACCAGGAAATATATGTCTCGCTATGTGTTTCGAGAGTGTGTATTTAATTTTCTAAAGTGAATTGGCATTCAATAAATATTCTTGGGTTTAAAGTCAGATTTTAAGATTTCCTCTCACTCTTCAATTTAAACTCTTAGGACTGAATTTTTTTGTATCTGAAAGAAGATTTGAGTTGTGAAAGTAAACTCCCTCTCAGAAATGTACCAAATAATTTATCTATTACAAGTAGGAGAAGGTAACATTTTTATTACTTATTATTTACAGAAAAATAAATCAGAGATGTGTATACAATTTTTGACACAGATACACGTGTGTGTTTTTTTAAAGTTTATAAGCCTGTTTTATCTGTCCTTTAGAATCTGCATGGCACACCTGAGTGTGGTTTCATATTATACAAACAATATATTTTTATGTAAATAACATATTACAAATATAAATTATATGAAATATATGTGTGTATGAACATATTATTATAAATATATAATATTTTACATGTTTTGAAATGTAATGAAAATTAATTTGTGATGTTATTGACCAATAAAGATAATGGCACACTTGGGGTGAAAAATTCATTAAAATATTTGTTTTCAATTTTTCTTATGATAAAGCTCTCTGCATTTTTAAGTGACTGAAAATCTTATTTAAATATTGTTATTCTTAATATTTTCTTACGGAGAATTTTGCATGGGGTACTCTAGACGCTGTTCCATTTGTTCTTGCTCCCAGCTGTTATTTGTGATAACATGGCAAAGGTTGACACAAGTCTTTGTATTAACTTGAAGATAACAAAGACAATACTGAAAATTCGACAATTAAAAACTGGGTGGCAGAATCTTCTGGAACTTTTAATTGGCCATGATAAGCGGAAGAAATGCAAGACATTTCTGCAACAATGGCTATAACTCTCTTTATTTTCAAGAGTATTCTATCAGTAATTTGAGATACTGGCTTGTTATCAAACTGGATAAAATAGTTGCATTTTAATTGGAGAGTCTGAATTAGAATTTTAGGAATATTTGAATGTCTGGAATGGTTTGATTATTTATTATTTCAGTAATTCATTATTCATCTGTGATATTTCAAAAAAGCCATAACATGGAGAGTAAATGATAAATTTGAACAAGAGTATGTTTATATCACACCAGTATAGAGCATTTAAAATAAATGCAAAACTGAACTTTACACTTTCCTTTGCAAAGTCGCATGTTGTTCAACAATCAGGCACTCATGTACACAGACACACAAAAATACATGTACTGAATTTAGCATTGGCTTCAGTGTAATGTCACACTGTAGAAATCTAAAAATTACAGATTAGTAACACTCTCTAAAACCTACTCCTAGGAATGTGTGTTTTCTTTTTCAGTATTTCCTTTGTTTTTTTATAAAACTGTAATGATACTTGTTTACTCCAAACATGCTTCTAATTTAAGAATTTCAAAGCCATGCCTGGCTTCATGGGTATGTGAATGGTATAATCACAACTATGTTTCCCCAAATGCGTTGAATCCAGCCTTTTTAGAGGTGCTCTGTGCGTTTGTTTGGTCATGCCTTAAGAGCAACTGATACAGATGGGATTTTATGACGAATTCTGTGTCAGGGAGGAGGGAGATGGTTAGCCACAACAGATTCAAGTGACTGAAAATTATAAGAAAGTATTCAAAAGAGGACGGTGAGTACAACAGACTAAAATAAAATATCCACTATATTTTATTTTTAGTCAACCACACACATATATACTCATACATGTGTTCTTAACTTTGTTATCTTTTTGTAATTGAATTATAATTGTACATGTTTATGAGATTCATAGTGATGTTTCAATATATACAATGTAGGTTGATCAGATCAAGGTAATTAACATACATATCATCTCAAACATTTATTACTTCTTTGGGTTGGGAACATTCAATTACTTTTAGCTGTTTGAAAATAATAGGTATTGTTACCCACAGTCATTCGGCAGTGCTATAGAACACTGGAAATTATCCTGTGCAGCTGTAATTTTGCACCCTTTTAACAAATCTCTCCCTATTTCCCACTTTTTCTAACCTTTCCTCCTACCCTTCCCAGTCTCTAGTAACCTCTGTTCTACTCTACTTTTTTTTTTTTAGACAAAGTCTTGCTCTGTCACCCAGGCAGGAGTGCAGTGGTGCAATCTCAGCTCATTGCAGCCTCTGCTTCCGGGGTTCAAGCAATTCTGCCTCAGCCTCCTAAGTAGCTGGGATTACAGGCACCAGCCATCTCGCCTGGCTAATTTTTGTGTTGTTAGTAGAATAAGAGTTTCACCATGTTGGCCAGGCTGGTCTCGAACTTCTGACCTCAGGTGATCCATCCACCTCGCCCTCCCAAAGTGCTGGGATTATGGGTATGAGCCACTGCGCCCAGCCTACTCTACTTTAATGAGTTCAACTTTTGTAGCTTCTGAGCATGAATGTGAACAGGTGGTGTTTAACTAATTGTTTCTGGCTGATTTCACTTAACATAATGCCCTCCATGCTCATCCATATTTCCATGAATGATAGGATTTTATTCTTTTTTACGGCTGAATAGGATTCCATTATGTATATATACTACATTTTCTTTATCCATCCATCTATTGGAATCTGAGGTTGATTCCCTATCTTGGCTATTGCCAATAGTGCTACAATAAACACAGGAGTGCAGATATCTCTTCCATATACTGATTTCCTTTTCTTTGGATAAATGTTTAGTAGTGGAATTGCTGGATCATATGATAGTTTTATTAGTAGTGTTTTTGAGGAAACGCCATATCATTCTCCACATTGGCTGTATTGCTTTGCATTTCTAAAATCATATATGAGTGTTTCTCATTCTTTGCACCCTCATCAGCATTTGTTATTTTTTGTCTTTTTGATAATAGACATTCTAAATGGGGTGAGATAATATCTAATTGTTTTGATTTGTATTTTCTTGATGGTTAGTGATGCTGAGCATTTTTTTCATATATTTTTTGGCTATTTGTATGTCCTCTTTTAAGAAATATCTGCTCAGATCATTTGTCCATTTTTAGTTGGATTGCTTGTGTTTTAGCTGTTAAGATGTTTCAGTATCTTTTATTTTCTGTATATTCATCTTCTGCCGGAGTTTGCAAACATTTTCTCCCATTCTGCACATGCCTGTGTGTTTTCAACCTTTACAAATTTGTTGTGATTTGAATTGTATCCACCCCCACTAAAAATATGTTAAACTCCTAACACCAGATACCTATGAATGTGAGCTTATTTGGAAATAATATCTTTGCAAGATGTAATTAATTTAAGATGAGATCACGCTAGATTAGGGTGAGGCTTAATACAGTGACATCATAGAAACATATAGGCACAAAGAGAAAACATCATGTGTAGAATTAGGCAAAGTTGGAGCAATGTATCTATAAGCCAAGGACTACCAAGGAGGGCTAAAAGCTACCAGAAGCCATCAAGAGCCAAAGAAATATCCTACCCTAAAGCCTTTGAACAGAGCACCGCACCTTGGTTTTTTTTGGTTTTTAATTTCTAGCCTCTAGAATTATAAGAAAACAAATTTTCCTGTTTTAAATCTTAAAAGGTTTTGGCAAATTTTATATCAGCCTTAGGAAACTATCTCAAGATCTATAATTGCTACACTCAAAATAAAGCAACTTTTATTATACATTACCCAAAGGGAAAAAAGTATATACATTTTTTACATTCAGCGTTAAGTCAGCTGGTTTATTTCCTCAATTACATGAGGATGGTACAATGAAAACAAACAAACAGAAAATGAAAGGTTTAGCACTGTTTCGCCCTGAATTAAAATTTAACCTCCCTCAAATATATGTAGCATGTAACGAAGGGAAAAAAGAAAGAATGTAATTCAAAAATATATAGAAATTTAAAAATTGGTTAAGTAATGTAATATAACACAAATACAGAAGATAAATTACACTTTACATTTCCTTAGAAAAGCTATCTGATGATCTCTATTTCTGTTCTTTGATTATAAGACAGAATTATATGAATTGGAAATTTAGTCTCCTATTGTCTTCTGTAGAAATATTTTACAGAGATATTCAAAGTGGTTTTTATTTGACATTATTCACATTTACTAACCTAGTTATATAACCAATTGGCCACATGGCTACCTGTGACTGACTGAAGCTTGATTCAAAAATTAATCAGTTACAAGGACTACCTCTGACTTAAATTTCGGTTTGCTTGTGTAGGAGATCCTAGTATGGTAGTAATCCCAGGCTAATGATCTCATATTTATTTTGATTTAACACCAGGCAAGCAAATATATTCAAGTTTGTTTCTGATCATTTATAACACTCTTTATTTGTTTTTATTTACTAACATATATTTTGTTAAAAATGCCCTCCACTTTCTCCTCCTCCTCTTCATCCTCCTGCTCTTACTACTCTTCGTCTTCTCCTTCCTTCCCTCCTTCCCTTCCCCCTTTTCCCCCTTCTCCCCCACCCCTCCTTTCCCCTCCCCTTGCCTTCCCTTCCTTCTTTCTTTCTTCTTCCTTCTTTCTTATTTTTGATGTTTTAGCAAATGAGTCTTCATACTGCCATTAGCATTAATCCTTAGTTATGTAGCTTCATCTTGACTAAGAGCAAAGAGAAAACACTAGGCAGAGATAGTGAGGCAGAACTAATTTATTACCAGCTTCTAGATTCCACCTAGAGTTATTCAATACTTGAACAAGTTTAGTAAAGTAAAACAAAGTTTGTTTGAATAAGGTCTAGACACATATAATTTTCTATTCTCTTGACTTCCTCAGACTAATATATTATTATTATTATTATTATTATTATTATTATTATTATTTTGAGACAGAGTTTTGCTTTTGTTGCCCAGGCTGGAGTGCGATGGCGCTATCTCGACTCACTGAAACTTCCGCCTCCCAGGTTCAAGTGATTCTCCTGCCTCAGCCTCCTGAATAGCTGGGATTGCAGGCATGCACCACCACGCCCAGCTAATTTTGTATTTTTAGTAGAGACAGGGTTTCTCCATGTTGGTCAGGTTGGTCTCGAACACCCGAACTCCAGTTATCCACCCACCTCGGCCTCCCAAAGTGCTGGGATTACAGGCATGAGCTGCTGCACCCGGCTTATTTTACTTCCTTCTTTTTTTCAGACCTCATGTCTTTGCATTTGTGGAGCGGAAAATGCTGTTTAAAAATAAATACATATAACAGCCGGGAAAAATAAGTTTAAGAATTAAAGTAAAATTAAATCTGTAAGTTTAGGTGAAATTCTCCAAGAAAGAAAAAAAAAAAGTCTATGAAAAAAAAGAAAAAGCACTTGGAGAAGGAAAGAATAATTTCCCTATCATCATTATGTCTTCTCAAAAAATAGAAACATCAATGATGTTATCAAAATTATAGTGGGAATCAGATGAAATAGGACTAAGTACTCTATCAGGTCAAACCTTCACTGCAAATGCTCCATTTCTCATTGCTATGAAAATAGGATGTCATTCTTATGGTAAAGATATTTTAAGAAAATCCATATGCAGAAAAGTAAATGTTAAGAAGGGATCAAATGTGGTATTTTTATCACTACATAAAGGATATTATGGAGATAAAATGATTTTAGCTCTTAAGAATAGTATAAAAACAGGATTTTTCTATACATGTATCTATGTATCTATCTCTAGCTATCATCTATATATACAAGTTAAATCATGCCTGTATGCTCACAGGAAAAGAAAAAAAGATCTTTCCGTTACTGTTATCTTCTTGCATATCTTGCCAGCTCTACTTTAGTTCAATGTAATTAATGTATTTAGGAGTGTGTGGGTGTGTGCATTTTTTCTATTTGCTTGGTACACACATTAGTCTTATGCTTGGAAGGACACCTTAGAAATTAGGCCAGCAAAACGTGGCTGTTCATTTTCTTGATGTTTAGCTTTCTCCCTATGCTCATCAGAGCTCAAGAGCGTCGTTTGTAAAGTCCCCAGATAATAAAAAACATTGAGGACCTTGTTAACTAGGAGCTTCTAGTCACTGAGAACATTGTTAACAGGGACCTTCCACTTACCCCAAGATGGATTCTTCAGGAGTGGGTATCGTAATTGATACACTTAAATAACTACAAGTATTCTAGGTGATATTTATCTTCATGGAATTGTGGAAAGCGTTGTTATATCTCACATAATACATATGTATCCACCACTTTTTTCCAAATTTGTGAAGAAAAACTATATTTTTAAAGTACTAAAAATACTAAAATACTAAATACTAAAATACTAAAAAACAAAATTTTTACAATACACTTATTTTACCTATATTTCTCCATATGTAATTGGGAAGAAGTGAAGAGTGTATCATAAAAAAAATGATTACTGCTAGTATATACTCCAGAAAAGTTTTGGGGAATTAAGCTGTGATATATGTATTTTCATACTTCTTAGTCTCTATTTCTATGAGAAAAACAGATATCTGAATTCAATATATTTATAGGTTTATTGAATATCTAATAATTTAAAATATAATAGTTGATTTTAAAATGAAAGACATAAATAATATATAGACTAAACATAGTTATTTAAAATAAGTTAACTTTAATTTTGGATAGTAACTTTTTTTTAAACTTTCCTTTATACTTAGCAAAAAATATATAACAGATCTGGAAAAAAGATATAGCTTAATAGAATATTCATAACCTCTTTTCAGTCAGATACTCATGGCAGTCAAGGGAAGTCACATTAACTCTGTGTCTCACTTTTTACTTTAATTTTTTTTTCTGTAAATTATAACAAAAACATTTGCTCTTTCTACCTCATCAGGTTTTAGTAAGGATAAAATGTTTTAAATATACTCTGTAACTCATGAAACCTCATATAGTTCACATAATTTTTATGCTCTGATAAAACACATGATTAATCGGAAAAATTTTACACTGATAGTGAATTCAATGAAACATCATTGAAATTGTAAGTTTCCTGCATGGTCATTAGATAGCATACTCAGTATCACGTATAAGTTCAGTTCTTAAAATTGACACTGATATGATGCTAAAATTAATTACTCTTATATCAACTCCAAAATGGCTGAGGGAATAAAGTTAAATTGAAACCCAGTGAAAACATTTTTTTTGGAGGATGAGGTTATTTGTGCAGATGCTTTTCCTTCTGATCTTCTAATACAGAGATTTAATACTTAGGGATGTTAAAAATTGGACAGCTGATCTGTTCTTTAGACATTCATTCTCAACTGTTAGGATCATCAAGCCTTTGGCAGCTGCTCAATTGCAGTCAATAATTGGGCTTATCTGGCCCTCAAAAATCATCACACGTCCTTGGAAGTTCTGCCTCTGTGATTGTATCTCCTAGTGATCTGCTGGCAACAACAGTTAACATGTCAGATTCATCTCCACATATGTTTACCGTCGGAACATAGGTATTCAGAAAACATTTCAATATTACTTTGAAGATGTCTTATCTAGTGTTTTCACTTTTATGTCTTTGAAAATATTTTTAAGAAAGCAATAATTGGCTCCATAATTAATAGCCTGAGACAAAAGGTGATTCCTATTGCTGTGGCAAGCTGGTATATAACACCATCCAGCACCCTCTCACAGGGAACAATTTGAGGTAATGAATTATGACAGGAACATTGCTGTTTGTAAAATAATTAGGTGATAAAATAGATGAATTATTAGGCTTTTATATTATAAACTGGTTGTTCTGTGATATGAAAGGTTGCAGGTTTTTTCTTTCCTCATTTGAAATCCACCTTGTGTATACAATCATAAATTATGCCTTCCTAGTCTGATTGCCTAAAATTCTTGTATGACAACAATAGCAACACTTACAATTAGCTCAAGAATGAAAGTATATCTGGCTAATTTCACATGGAATACTTCTGTTGCTTTAATTAACTTATCCCAATAAAACAATTTGTTCTTTTTTAGTAGTGTACATTTTACAATGAAATATAAAAATTAAGTCAAGTTAAAAGTATGACCTACAAGAAAAAGCATGTTGAACTATAAATTATGGTTGTTGAATTAAATGTCTTTAATTTGCAAAAAGGAGGTAATAATATAAATTTAAAAAACTAAGAAACTAATGAAGAACATAATTATACTTTGAAGTCCTTTATTTTTCTCAAGTTTCCTTTGAATGTCTGGTACCAACTCTGATTCTTCAATCTGAATATTCAAGCATGTAAAATTGTCTCTCATTCTCCATGCTAGCTTCATGGATACTTGAATGAGGTTATTGTTCCTAGGATTTTATATCATCTTTTCCTTATATTTCCCCTTTCATTCCATCCCATTCTATAAAACAAAAAGACAACAGAATTTAAGTTAGCACTCTTGATTGTCTTATATAAGCTCCCACACACTATATTTATACAAAATAGAAGTTGTTGCTTTATAATACAGCAAACTTGAAAACTCTTGCCCCTTGTAAACATGACCTGTATGAATCATTAATGACATGAGAGAAATCTCCTGCTAAGAAAATAAATGATCTGCTTTCTGCTGAGTGGGAAGCCCTGACTTTTGATCACAGGCAAGGTAATAGGATCAGGCATCAAATAAGGTCATGAAAACAGGAGACTGTTTAGAATTTCCAGGAGGAAGATTTATTTTTCTTTATTTTTCAATAATTTCAAAAGGTCAATACTAGGAGGGCTGCTAGCATCTTCAAACATTAATAAAAATTGCTGCAGTACAACACATTATTTGAGGAAATGTGAGAGAAAGGTCAAAAAACCAAATTTTTATTTGGTATTTGTTTCAACCTAACTAATAAAACAACAGCTTGAAATTTATCCAAAAATGATTTGGAATACCAAATGTGATTTAAGATGTCAGGATACATAGAAAACTGGAAAATCTTCGTAGCAAATGGTGAAGTCTTAGCACAACTTGCCTCTATCCAAGATTTTACTAGTATCTCCATATATTTTACTGGTACCTCCAAACATTTTACTGGTACCTTCAAAGATTTTACAGGCACTAAAAACCATCTATTAATACTTGAATCTTATCTATAATCTATACCTCTGAAAACATTGTTTAAATATTATTAAATAAAGTGTTATAATGTAAACTGTTCTACTTTATTAGAGGATTTTAAAATTTAAATTTCTTTTCTGTTACTTTTATTGCTCTATGAAGAAAATTCATTAAAGCTCTTTATCCTTTTATGAAGTCTTCTGCCATTTCCTACAACTCTTTTAACATAGTACTTTCTGGTGCTTCTCAAATTACTTTCTGATGTATTCAAGTTATTTATTATTTTATTTTGGTTTTTATTTATTTTGTAAAGCACGTATTTGATGATTAATTCTTATATGTCTGTTTATTTATAAATATTTTACATGGCTTCTCATTTCTGACTTTTAAATTAATAAACATTAATTTTTTTCAACTTCCATTTATTTTCTTCAGTTTTGATATTTTTATTTTAGGGATGCATTTAGTCCTTAACTCAATTGGTTGTGATTGGTTTAGAGTTCTTAACTTTACATTTAAAAATTAGGTAAATTCTTCTTAAACATAATAACATTTTAAAACTCTAAATATATATTATTTTGAGGAAAAAAAGAGTTATTTTTGTCTTATATGAGACCAGACACCCAATGTCTCCAGCATAGTGGGAAAACCAAGACCCTAGACCGGGGGAGATGGACAAATGCACCGTAAAATACTAGTTTTTTTAGAACAAATAATTGAGGAGAAGAAAAGTTTAGAAGAAGAAAAGGCTAACACAGTAGTCCCACTTTATCAGTAGTTTCACTTTCTGCCATTTCTGTTTTCCGTGGTCAGCCATTGTTAGAAAATATTGAATGAAAAATTTTAGAAACAAACAATTCATAAATTTTATATTGCATGTAGTTCTGAGTAGCGTGATAAAATGTTGGGTCATCCTGCTCTGGACATGGGTCATTCCTTCATCCAGCATATCCGTGCTGTGTATGCTACCTGCCTGACAGTCTCTCAATAGCCTTCTTGGTGATCAGTTCAACAGACCACAACAGTAATAAAATAACAAGGGTGAGTCAATTATAATATGATATTTTGAGAGGGAGAAAGATCATATCCACATAACTTTGATTACACTATAATGTTAAAATCCTTATATTTTATTAATATTGTTTATCTTATTGCATGTAATTTGTAAATTAAACTGTATCATGAGTATCTATGTACAGAAAAAACATAGTATATATAAGATTAGATACTATCCACAGTTTTGGGTACCATTTGGGAGTGTTGGAACAAATCCTCTACTGAGAAGAGAGAACTCCTGTAATAGCTGTTTAGAGAAATATTAGATAGCATCTCAGGCAATGCTAAAATTTCTCATATGGTAAAAATGAGATTCAAGCAAAAATTATTATTATTATTATTATTATTTTTTCAGAATGAGCAATTAGGTTTAAGTTTTCTTTCTTTTTTTTTAATTTTATTTATTTATTTATTTATTTTATTATACTTTAAGTTTTAGGGTACATGTGCACATTGTGCAGGTTAGTTACATATGTATACATGTGCCATGCTGGTGCGCTGCACCCACTAACTGGTCATCTAGCATTAGGTATATCTCTCAATGCTATCCCTCCCCCCTCCCCCCACCCCACAACTGCAAAAATTATTATTAAATGTTGAACCATGTAGTCAATGTAAAGCCAAGTATACATGCCAGTAGTTTCTGATTATAATGTAACTCTTCCTTGAAATACAACTTTTTGCCTGCCTATTAGGCTGCTCTAAATATAAATAAAAGAACCAAGAGTAAACTAGACCTGTGAGCATTAGCAAGTTAAATAAGTAAATAAGCAAACAATAAAAATACATCAATCCATAAGTCATATAAATATCCAGTACAAGAAATTGATCATGTCAAGAAGTTGATCAAAGTGAGTTGATAGCAAAGGAAAACCAGCAGGAATGTAAGAACTATAAAATATCACCTATTTTTGAAACTGAGTGTTTGCATTTTCCCTGGTGGCAGGCGTCCATCCTGAGCTGCATGATATGACATGATTTACTAGGCATTTCTGATATAAGACATAACAGATATAAAGGATTAATGGTATGGGGTACAGGCATATGTGAATGATATTCAGAGTGTTATATAAAGGATCTCAGACTAGGAGATTTAATGCTAATGTAAAGGAGCCAGCAGATTACATGACTATCTCTTCCTTCAATTTACAGGTAAAATACATATTTAAGAAAACAAATGACAGAGCACATTCCAAAAGAAAGAAAAGTAAAGCCTTCAGGATTCAGACATAATGAACTAAACAAAATATACAACCTGAATTAGTACAAATGCTTCAAGAACTAAAAATAAGCCAATAAATAAAATCTATGTATTAAGGGTTGATATTGTAAATATAATACAGGAAAAATAAGCTACAAAAAAGAAATAAGTTGACAAATTAGAAATAAAAATAACATTGAAAGGTAATAGACAAAATATAAATTAAAAATAACACATTGAAAAATGTAGGTACACTAGAACTTTGTAAGTTTTTTTTAACAAATGCAAATAAGTTGTTCAAACTGATAGAAAAAAACAGACCTTGATAAATCAAGGAAGATTCTAGAGTAATAGGAATAAATCAGCACTAAGAGAATATGACACAGTAATATCAGAAATATACCTTAATGAATGATAAGGTGTAAGCATTTGGGGGGCCCTCCCACCCCCTGGCAAAAAGGAAATAACAGAGTATACAAATCAGATGACACAAACCTGCATAACAAAGTTCACACTAGACATTCTGGAAGATCCTCTATCCTCAATGCTTATCCTTACACATATAAACATGATCGAGATGAAGGAAGGTCATAATCACATAATATCTCACTATGTTCCACTCTATCTCAAGTGAATAAACTCCTTCTTTTGGAATTCTGTCCATTTAATGACAGTAATAAGAATGCTGCTCTTTTTTAAAACTAGAATTTTCTTTAAGTACTCAGAATGTAATAATTGTTCTCAAGCACGATGATTGGGTGTTTATGAGCACGTGTGAGTTGTACCTCCTTCAAATCCTGTTTTGGTGGCAGCACGTTACCCATCTGACATGAAAGAAAATAAGAGAAAAAATGAAAATTACCTGCTAAGGTTAAGTGATATATGTGTGTGTGTGTATATATATATGTGTGTGTGTATGTATATGTGTGTATATATATATACACACACACATATATACGTGTATGTATATATGTGTGTGTGTGCATATATATATACTTAAACAAAGTAGTATTAATCCATGAAATGTGTACTTAGTATTGTGTGTGTGGATATATATATATCCACACATATATATATGGCTTTAAGCACTAGTGTTAACTGGAAATGTGTTAGAGTTATGCAGCTGCCTAGGCTCATTTGCATAGATTCAATAAGAAGACAATGAGATGCACTCAAATGGTTCTAGACAGTATTGCTCACCACATGGCAGGCAACGTGGGTTCATAGTTCTCTCTACCTTCCAAATCCCGTGGGGGTGGCGCGGGTAAATATTTTGTGTTACAGATTGATATTTTATATATTGAAATCTTAACTTTTAATGTGATGACATTTGACGGTGTCTTTAGAAGGTAATTAGGTCATGAGGATGAAGCCTTCATGAATGGAATTAGTGCACTTATAAAAAGAACCCCAAAGAACTTTCTTCCTGTTTTTGCCAGGTGAGGTTACAAAGAGAAGCGGCACTCTGCCACCCGGAAAATGGTCCTCACCAGAACCAACCATGCTGGCACCCTGATCTTGAACTTCCAGCCTCCAGAACTGTGAGAAATAAGTTTCTGTTGTTTATAAGCCACACAGTTTATGATACTTTGTTATAGCAGCTTAAACTGACAAGGACTCTGCACACACAGGGGTTTATGTCACAGCTGAGAAACACTGCACTGTAAAAACCCTCGATTGTATAAGGGATCTGTCAGAAAACCTGCCCATCCTTATCTCCAGAGAAACTCTGCCTTGGAATGTAAGGCTATCCCTTTGCGAAGGAGAAGGAAGACTTTACTCTCCTAGAATGTCTCTGAAGAGAAAAACATTCTCTATGTTTATTACACTGATCAGACAAGAAATCTCTCTCCTAAGGAGTGATACACTATCTCTAACTTCCAAGGCTCTTTGTTATACAAGATTCTTGAAAAGAGCATCTGAGGTGGTAAAAACACCACAGAGAATTGCTTCCAAACAAATAAAAATGATCAGGTTTCTGTGTAGAAAATTGTCAATTCTGAGTGTTAGCTTGATGCTGCATTATTCTTTGCAGTGTTTAAGGTTTTTCATGAACGTAAAAAAGGCATGTATTCAGATCATGTAGTGATTATGAACTTAATAAATCATTGATAATCATCCATTTTAGTGTAGGAGGTTCACCTTGATTCCCACATGGAATAAATACACTGTATAATCTCCCCTTTAACCCAGGCTGATAGCTGAGGATCAACTACTTGAGGTAAACTGAGACTCGAGGATTAGTAAAGAAATCCAGATAATCAGATAACTTGAGCTTGATTTAGGTCTGTATGTGTCATTGAACATATGCTGTTGAATCATTTCACCTTTCAAAGTACTGTATCAGCCATGGTTAATTCAGGAGAAAAGAAATCATACAAGGTCTTCACACAGGGGGGATTTTATAAGAGACCACAATGGTTTTATAAGAACTGTCAAACTTAAACAGCAAAAAGGGAGCACTAAGCTAACCCAAAGATTATAACTGATGAAAACAAAGATGAGAAAAGAAGTGGGAAGAGCAAGGCCTGAGAGTTCTTTGTGAGGCCCTGTGGGGTTGGCACTCAATCTCCAAAGAGGAGGTGCCTCTTGGTTGTTGGTTCCTGTAAGAAGGGTGATGAGGCTGAAATCAGGACTGGCAAAAGGGGCTGGAGACTGGAGACCATTCTCTCTTTTGAGTTATGCTGATGTGAACAGCAGAAAAAATGAAAGAAAAAAAGAAGAAAACATAAACGGGGGAGAGTTCCTTCTCACTTCATTCATCTTCCTCTTCAGTGCCTCTGATGGACATAATCATGGAAATCAGGAATACAGTTTGCAAAATTTTAGTCCCAGCATCTCAGAGTAGAGTATAAGGAATGGATTTTATGCTGAAAGACAATGAGTACATGACTATCAAAATTACTAACTATAAGGTCATTTTCAAGGGACTTTAATCCACTATTTTAATGGGAATATTTACTGAGGCTTCTAGTTTTCTTTGTGAAAACCAATTAACTTCAAGGTGACATTACTAAATATTTCTTCTACTGGGAAACGAAACTTAATGGTAACAGAAACTGATGTTTTGTCAGGAAAACATATTTTTTTCTGAATTTATTATTAGTGTAGAATGCACACTTTTGCATGGAGGAATGATTTCATTCCATTTCTTTAAATTAGACACAGAATCTAATATGAGCGTTGCAATCTGCTGTGGAATATGTCCTTTGAGATGTCTGTTTCCCTTTTTCCCATATTCTCATTATAATATATAGCTTTTCTTATTTTACCTTCTACTTCCCAAGGAGTGGAGAATATAGAATAAATAAATAAGATAGTCTTAAATTAAAAATTTCCTCTTATGTACACTGCTCTTAGAATTTGTTTCAGCATATGTGTGATTCATCTTGTTGCTATTTCAAATTCTAGTATAAAGAACATACTTATAAATACCATTCATTTGTGAAAAAAATCTAAAAGGAATAGCAATCTCTTCATTGTCCTGTGTATTAATCTATTTTCATGCTGCTGATAAAGACACAACTGAGACTGGGCAATTTACAAAAGGAAGAGGTTTAATGGACTTACAGGTCCACATGGCTAGGGTGGCCTCACAATCATGGCAGAAGGCACTTCTTACATGGCGGTGGCAAGAAAGAGAATGAGGAAGAAGCAAAAGCAGAAGCTCCTTATAAAGCCATCCGATCTCATGAGACTTATTCACTATCATGAGAACTGTATGGGGAAAACTGCCCCCATGATTCAATTATCTCCCACCAGGTCCCTCCCCCAACACATGGGAATTATGGGAGTACAATTCAAGATGAGATTTGGGTGAAGACACAGAGCCAAACTATATCATTCCATGCCTGTCTCCTGCCAAATCTCATGTCCCCACATTTCAAAACCAATTATGCCTTCCCAACAGTCCCCCAAAGACTTATTTCAGCATTAACTCAAAAGTCCACAGTCCAACATCTCATCTGAGACAAGGCAAGTCCCTTCCACCTATGAGCCTGTAAAATCAAAAGCAAGTTAGTTACTTCCTAAATACAATGGGGTACAGGCATTGGGGAAATACAGCCATTCCAAATGGAGAAATTGGCCAAAAGCAATGGCTACAGGCACCATGCAAGTCTCAAATTCAGTGGGGCAGTTAAATCTTAAAGCTCCAAAATGTTTTCTTTGACTCTATGTCTTACATTGGGGTCATGCTGATGCGAGAGGTGGGTTCCCATTGTCTTGGGAAGCTCCCCTTTTGTGGCTTTGCAGGGCATAGCCCCCCTCCTGGCTGTTTTCATGGGCTAGTGTTGAGTGTCTGTGGCTTTTTAGGTGCGTGGTGCAAGCTGTTCATGGATCTACCATTCTGGGGTCTGGAGGACAGTTGCCCTCTTCTCACAGCTCTACTAGGTGGTGTCCCAGTAGGGACTCTGTGTGGAGGCTCTGACCCCACATTTCCTTTCTTCACTGCCCTAGTAGAGGTTCTCCATGAAGACCCTGCCTCTGCAGCAAAATTCAGCCTGGGCATCCAGTCTTTTCCATTCATCTTTTGAAATCTAAGTGGAGGTTCCCAAACCTCAACTCTTGTCTTTTGTGCACCTGCAGGCTCAAGACCACATCTAAGCTACCAAGGCTCGGGGTTTCCACCTGCTGATGCAACAGCCTGAGCTATACCTTGGCCCCTTTCAGTCACAGCTGTAGTGGATGGGGCACAGGACACCAAGTCCCTAGCCTGCACACAGCAGAGGGACCCTGCGCCAGGCCCACAAAACCATTTTTTCCTTATAAACCTCTGGGCCTGTGATGGGAGGAGCTGCTGCAAAGGTCTCTGACATGCCCTGGAGACATTTTCCCCATTGTCTTGGTGATTAACATTTGACTCCTCATTATATGTGCAAATTTTTGCAGCCTGCTTGAATTTTTCTTCAGAAAATGGAATTTTCTTTGGTATTGCATTGTCAGGCTGCAAATTTTTCAAACTTTTTTGCTCTGTTTCCCTTTTGAAACTGAATGCCTTTAACAGCACTCAAGTCACTCCTGAATGCTTTGCTGCTTAGAAATTTCTTCTGCCATATACCCTAAATCATCTCCTGCAAGTTCAAAGTTCCACAAATCTCTAGGGAAGGAGCAAAATGCTGCCAGTCAAATAGAGCAAGTGTCACCTTTACTCCAGTTCCCAACAAGTTCCTCATATCCATGTGAGACCACCTCAGCCTGGATTTCATTGTGCATATCACTATCAGCATTTTTGTCAAAGCATTCAACAAGTCTCTAAGGCGTTCCAAACTTTCCCACATTTTTCTGTCTTCTTCTGAGCCCTCCAAACCGTTCCAACCTTTGCCTGTTACCCAATTCCAAAGTCATTTCCACTTTTTCAGGTATCTTTTCAGCAGTGCCCCACTCTACTGGTACCAATTTACTGTATTAGTACATTGTTTTCATGCTGCTGATAAAGACATACCTGACACTGGGCAATTTAAAAAAGAAAGAGGTTTAATGGACCTACAGTACCACGTGGCTAGGGAGGCCTCACAATCATGGCAGAAGGTGAAAGTCACTTTTTACTTGGTGGTGGCAAGAGAGAGAATGAGGAAGAAGTGAAAGTGGAAACCCTTTATAAAACCATCAGATCTCATGAGACTTATTCACCACCGTGAGAACACCAGGCGGGGAACTGCCCCCATGATTCAATTTCTCTCACAGGGTCCCTCCTGCAACATGTGAGAATTACGGGAGTAAAATTCAAGAGGAGGTTTAGGTGGGAACACAGAGCCAAACCATATCATCTTGCCCTGACTCCACTGCCATTATTGAATGTTCACTTGTGTGAAGCAAGGTATGCTCAAACTTACAGAAACCTTTGCAAATCTCAGCCCATTTTCTTGAGTAGTGGCTATGATATTGTACCATGTGTTTACATTTGACTAAGATTTTTATTTGTAAAAATATATTCTTTAAAAGTAATTGAGTGTTCACAAAACTAGAATGTAAAATGCTTTTTTTTGCATTGATTTAAATTTTAAATCACCAAAATGACTATCATTAAATGAACTTCAAGCTTCAAAAGTTGATATAATAGCCATTAAAAAGGAACAAAGTATATTTATATATACTCTTCTGGAAAGGTCATGAACACCCACTTAAGTAAAAAGAATAAAACCAGTATGTATAATATCATTATTGCCCAACTATATATGTGTATATGAACAAATGCATGCATTCAAAAGACATGAAAAATGATTTTTGTTTTACAATGAAGACTTAGAATGGGGCTTAGTCATTGAATTAGTATTTATGAGAATAATGAACTAACCAATCCACAAAATAAATAAATTAGATTTAGCATTAATACATAGCAAACAAGGAGAATGTCGCACTCACATATTTTAAACTTAAAAATTGAAGATCAGTGTCAGAAACAGAATTAAGGGAAAACTAATCTTGTGCTTCTCTAACTCAAAAGGAGATAATGCAGTGTTATCTTATCTTTTAGAATCCGTATGAGTGACACCAAATTATCTAGAAGCTACCTCAGAGGAGATCTTCATCTTTTCCATCTCTAGCAAGCAGGGAACGGACAAGGCCGGGGGAGGTATGTTTTCACTGAGAGTAGGTCATGAGGCTAAACTTTCCTGGTCAAAGCATAAACTCCAGGAATCATCAATGAATAGTAAAAATACATCAAATGGGTAGGAAGTGTCACCAGTGTGATTTGCTTTTCCCTTTGTTCAGTGCAGTGAACTGTTTTTGATTGTTGACACTCAAAATATGATTATAAGACCAGTAACACTGGCATCACCTGGCAGCCTGCAATAAAAGTAGATTCAAGGGCATCCATTGGCATTTTAATAAAATCTCATTGTAGTTTCTATAGAAATGGTTATTGCTTAAAAATACTATTGTAGTGGACTTTAACAACACATTACATAATATTATGTAACACTGAAGTAGGGAATCAGCAGGAGAACTTGTTTTCTCAGCATTGGTTACAAGACCCTGCTGATCAAAATAGAATTTGATGAAAACAGATGCAGCAAAGAAACAGGCCCCAAACAGCTAAAACCAAGATGGGGATGAGAGTGACTTTTAACTAGTTTTCTTCATTGCTCATTATATAGTACTTATAATGCATTAGCATGCTAAAAGAAACTCCCATTCATGGCATGACAGTTTACAAATGCCATGGCAACGGCTGGAAGTTACCTTATATGGTTTAGAAGGAGAGAAACCCTCAGTTCTGGGAACTCCACACCCTTTTTCCAGATGACCATCCCCTTATTTAGCATCTAATCAAGGAATAGCCATAAATACAGCTAGCCAGCAGTCCACGTGGAACATTGCAGCCACTCTGTCTATGGAGCAGCCATTTTTCTGTGTTCTGTTGCTGTAATAAACTCACTTTTCCTTTATTTTGTTGGATAGCTCTTGAATTCTTTTTTGTGTGAAGCCAAGGACCTCCCTGCCCTGGCTGAGCACCAATTTGGGGATTTGCCTGCATCAGTACTGTAGGACCCAGTTCTATTAGAAAATAACTGAAGCTGAGACCTCCTCTTTTACCTCACACTCAGTCTAAAAAACCAATGTCAACAAAGCCACATTTTCAGATGGGAAAAAAAGCTAAATTTAGGTAAAGAGATAGAAAAAGAAGATTCTATAAATTTCTATAAAAAGTTATGTTAGCAAGGTAGAGAGGTTTAGCAACTATATAAACAATATTTAAAAATAAGCAAATTAAAGAATATAATTGGCAAAAGATAAGTGACTATCTTAGACAAGAGTAAATCATTGTCAAATGAATAGAAGTAAATCCTCCACAAGGGACTTACTGTCTAAGTACTTAATAGAAGCATTAATTTATCAAACAAGTGTGTAAAAACCAGATGGCAATACAACCCAGGAAGATGAAAATGGTGACTGAAGAGCTGTGGAAACAAATTGAGGGACAAAATTACCACAGTACAAAAATAGTAAATGCACTCTAAACAGAACAAAACAGAACAGATGTGGCTGAAAATAGAATCACTGACACAGTGGAGAAAATGCCTATTAAAATTACGTGAATTCAGAGGAAAAAGGCCCAGATCAAAGCAGTTCGATGAATCACAATAGATGAAGAGAACAGAGATGTTCCAAGATGAGAATAACTGTTATCTGTGATGTAAAAACTTCAATAGAATTAACAAAAGTCATTCATGAGAAACGGATGAAGATTTCCCAGAAATTTTATAATATATTTGCACAATGACAGAATAAACAGTGTTCCAGAAATTACAATTTGTGGAACAATTTGGCCCAATAAATAACCTGGTGATGTAATTGAAATTGGAGAATTAGGTATTATCTGGCATACAGGAAAGAAGAGAAAGTTATGTACAAGAAGGAAGTGTCAGAGTAGCCTCAGATTTATCCACAGAAGTGTTTAATGATGGCAGATAATAGTGTTATAGCTACGAGATTCTGAAGAAAATAAGAGGTAAGATGTTACTCAAGACCTATACATTCAGGTATTAAATGTTATTCAAGCATTAAAATGTACCCTCACTCTTGATATCAAAATAAAAAATAAGAGAAGAAATAAACAACCGATAGGCCTTTCTGGAAAAAAAAAAGAAAGAGAGAGATAAATAAAGAGACAAACAAAACACATTTTTGACAATTAAAACAATCAAATAATGGAAAAATAAAGCAATCATTAGAATCTAAACTAAATAAACAGAAATAAAACTAAGGAACCATGGTAATGAAAATTAACCAAAAATATACATCTTAAGTACGTCAGTAATGTCAATAACCTTGGAGGAATAAAATAAAGTACAAGATTGTGCAGGTGTTAAGTAAATTAAAATGGAGACAAGGTCTGGAGAATTTGTGAGCAGAAAAAGCCAGTTAGGCCTTGAAAATAACCTTAGCATGGCTTAACTTGCAAGCACAGCAAAACTTAAACATGGGCCATGTCTTGTAAATGCTTGTATTAAGGAAAAATAAAACTTAGACTCTATCAGTCAGAAGCTGCCAACTAACTTACATAACAAGAACCTATTCAGCAACATAGACAAAATAAAGACAATTGCATAACTGTAACCAATGAAATCTTTCCTTGGCTTTACTTCCATGTCTGTCATTTAAAAGCATCTATTGGAGCTCCCAAATCACTTCTGGTTAGGAGCTGGAGCTGATCAATTCATGAATCAAGGTTTATTCAAATAAACTCTTTAACATTTTATTGTGCCTTAATTTATCTTTTAGCACAGGTTATGCTAGCTCTACTTGAAATATTAAAACTTCCAGGATGGGTGTGGTGGCTTATGCTTGTACTCAGCATTTTGAGAGGTCAAGGCAGGCAGATCACTTAAGCTGAAGAGTTCTATACCAGCCTGGGAAACACAGCAAAATCCCCTCTCTCCGAAAAAAAAAAAAAAAAAAGCCAGGAGCCAGGAGTGGTGGGACACATCTGTATTCCCAGCTACTCAGGAGGCTGAGTTGGGAAAACCATCTGAGTTCGAAAGGCAGAAATTTCAGTAACCCATAATCACACCACCGCATTCCAGCCTGGGTGACACAGTAAAACCCTGTTTCAAAATAACAGCAATCACAACAGCAAAATTCCAAACTCTCAATATTAAAAAAAAAAATTCTTCTTAAATTTTGAGGTATCTTTTATGGAAGAAGTATGTCTTAAGAAGAACAGATATTTATTTGTACAGTTAATTTTTTTTAAAAAATAGAATTTACTAGTTTTTTCCCTTTAAATTCAAGTATGCTAAATAAAGTTTATATTAAAATCATCACTCATGGCCCAGTTTTAAATAAAATACCTTCTTTTTGTTGATTTTTCTTTCTTGCTTTCATCATTTCTTAGTTCCTTTCTATTTGTCTATTTTCTAAAAGCATAATAAACCATCTGGAATGCTCTTTTGTAATGGTTGAAATGTCATTTCAGGCTTTTTTGGCTTGTTTAAAGTTGTTCTTGATATGATTTTTATATTTCTTATTTTTTTTGAAAAGACAATCATTATTTAAAACAAAAAGGCAAAAATAAGGTCTAGGCAGAGAAATTTCAAAATGTAAATATTAATTTTCTGGTCAGGGAATTGGACTGAATGTATGTAGAACTCATAAGTAGATATGTTAAAATTATTGCTTCACAGTATTTATACTATTTTAACAAATTTGTTACTAGCATAAACTATTCATTACTAGAAAAATATCATTTGTTGTTAATTATATGAAACATGTTTTTTAATCTTTGCATTTTACATATTAATGGAAAAGCTTAGCTTTTTTTTAAACATATATGGAGCTATTTTTTAGCTGGAGAAAGTTAGGGAAAAATACACACATATGGTTTGGTTAGGAAGGAATTAGTCCTATTACTCATAGCTTTGTACACCAGGCAAGTTGCTAGAATAGTCGGCAATCCTTAAAATGTGTATGTATGAAAATAATTTCTGTTAACAACAGATTTTTTCTGGTGCATGGTCTCATTTTGGGTCCACATAAGATGCTGCTTAAACAATTTGAGATGACATAACTGTTACTGTAGTTCAACATTTGAAAGAGCTAATCTATCTTGAAAGTCATAATTGTTTGTTTTGTAAATGATGATTTCTGTACATTTCAAATTCTACACTATATTTAATTTTGTATAAAATTATATATATTATACTACTTAATACCTTAATTTCAGGTTTAATTAAGGGTTAATGCCTTAATTATTAAGAGTTCAAATGACTTCTGTCTTTTCCTTGGGCATTTTTAAACTACTTAGCTTTATCTTTAAACCAAAGTAACTCCTTACAAGTTTTTTGTTTAGTAGAATTGCTTGAAACCTGGAGGAAGAAGTTTCAGTGAGCCGAGATCATGCCACTGCACTCCAGCCTGGGCGACAGAGTGAGACACCGTCTCAGAAAAAAAAAAAAAAAAAAGGTTTTTGTTTCATGTGATAGTGAAGCAAAGAAAGTCATGAAGAAAAGTCTTTCTCCAAAATATTCTTAACTTACATTTGGGTAATTTTATTACAGTGAATTGAGATAAGCAGCCACTGAGTAATAAGGCTAATATATCACTTTGTTATTCTTTCCCAACTAAAGGATTGAATGAAACATATGCTCAGTTCCCTCTCCCTGTGCTTTCAGACATGTATTCACACTTTATCATACAATCCTCAACGGATAGTTGCTTTAAGATCAATATATTTACAGAATAGCAAAAATAATTTGCATGCAATTATTTTCCAAGTCATAATGTTCTGAGAGCTTGCCTTACTCAGAAAAAAAAAATACAAAAAACAGACAAATGCCTTTTTATAATAATATTAGATAAAATATTATGTTGAGAATAAAATTCAATTTTATTTATTTGAGTTCCTGTAACAAGAATACATTTTGATTACAAACATCTCCAAGTTTTGAGCCATGGGTAATCAACATATATTAGACATAATTTAATTGAACAAGAACTTTACTGTGAGTTTTAAAATAAGAAATATGTTCTTTTCTCCCTCTCTCCTTCCTCTCTCTCTCTTCTTTTCTTTCTTGCTTGTTTGTTTGCTGGTAGAGAAAAGTTAGTTCTCAAGGTGATATATACAAAAATAGAGGGCTGACAGTCTGGAATGACAAACTGGACTGGTCATTGGGACACTAGTGCTGTCATTCTGTTCTGAACAACCTTCTATTATTTCTAAGTCTTGAATGTGATACTACTGAGATTGTTTTCCATGCCTCTCAGCAACACAGGTAATAAGAATTACACTCTATCAGTGGAGGTAAGTCAAATATATATATATTTATATTTAAATTAACTAGATACAAATTATTAGTT
Source organism: Homo sapiens (assembly GCF_000001405.40). NCBI lineage: Eukaryota > Metazoa > Chordata > Mammalia > Primates > Hominidae > Homo > Homo sapiens. Next base: position 18,854,973 of record NC_000005.10, read on the forward strand.
ATCAAGATAGTAAGTAAAACAGTTTTTCTTGTGGAATATGTAATTTTCACTGTATTTGACAAGTTTGAAAAACAGATATTCTTTCTGATATCATTCATTCATTTATTCAGTATTTATTAAAAGCATAATATGTCCTAGTGATATGGTTTGACTACGTTTCCACTCGAATTTCATCTTGAATTGGGGCTCCCATAATTCCCATGTGTTGTGGAAGGGGCCCGGTGAGAGAAAATTGAATCATGGGGGCAGTTTTCCCCATAGAGTTCTCGTGGTAGTGAATAAGTCTCATGAGATCTGATGGTTTTATAAGGGGTTTCCATTTTTGCTTGTTTCTCATTCTCTCTTGTCTGCTGCCATGTAAGACATGCCTTTCACCTTCTGCCATGATTGTGAGGCCTCCCCAGCCATGTGGAACTGTGAGTTCATTAAGTATTTTTCTTTATAAATTGCCCAGTTTGGGGTATTTCTTTATCAACAGTGTGAAAACTGACTAATACAGTAAATTGGTACTGGAAGTGGGGTGATGCTGTAAAGATACTCAAAAATATGGAAGCAAGTTTGGAACTGGGTAAATGGCAGAAGTTGGAACAGATTGGAAACCTCAGAAGGAGATAGGATAATGTGGAAAAGTTTGGAGCTTTCTAGAGCCTTGGAGGGCTTAGAAGATAGGAGGATGTGGGAAAGTTTGGAACTTCCTAGAGACTTGTTTAATGGCTTTGACCAAAATGCTGATAATTATATGAATAATGAAATCTAGGCTGAGGTAGTCTCAGATAAAGATGAGAAATTTGTTGAGAACTGGAGTAAAGGTGACTCTTGCTATGTTTTAGCAAACAGACTGGCAGCATTTTACTCCTGCCCTAGAGATCTGCGGAACTTTAAACTTGAGGGCGATGATTTAAGGTATCTGGCGTAAGAAATTTCTAAACAGCAAAACATTCAAGAGGTGACTTGGGTGCTGTTAGAAACATTCGGGTTTTTTTTTTTTTTTTTTTTTTTTGAGACAGTCTTGCTCTGTTGCCCAGGCTGGAGTGCAGTGGGGTGATCTCGGCTCACTGCAAGCTCTGCCTCCTGGGTTCATGCTATTCTCCTGCCTCAGCCTCCCGAGTAGCTGGGACTGCAGGAGCCCGACACTACACCTGGCTAATTTTTTTTTTTTTTTCAGTAGAGACGGGGTTTCACTGTGTTAGCCAGGATGGTCTCGATCTCCTGACCTCGTGATCCGCCCACCTTGGCCTCCCAAAGTGCTGGGATTACAGGTGAGAGAAAGCATTCAGTTTCAAATGGGAAACCGAGCATAAAAATTCTGAAAATTTGTAGCCTGATTAGGTGATAGAAAAGAAAAATCCATTTTCTGAAGAGAAATTCAATCAGGGTGCAGACATTTGCATGAGTAACAAGAAGCCAAATGTTAATTGATAAGACAATGGGGAAAATGTCTCCAGGACATGTCAGAGAACTTTGTGGCAGCCCCTCCCATCACAGGCCCAGAGGCCTAGGAAGAAAAAACAGTTTCATGGGCCAACGCTGTTGTGTGCAGCCTAGGAATTTGGTACCCTGAGTCCTAGCCATTCTAGTCATTGCTAAAAGGGCCAAGGTGCAGCTCGGGCTGTGGCCTCAGAGCGTGCAAGCCCCAAGCCTTGGCACTTTCCACATGGTGTTGAATGCACACTGGGGCATGGCCTAGTTGGAGCTGTGAGAAGAAGGCCACCATCCTGCAGACCCCAGAATGGTAAATCCACCAACAGCTTACACCGTGCAATTGAAAAAGCCAAAGACACTCAACACCAACCCATGAAAGCAGCTGGGGGCGATGCCGTACCCTGCAAAGCCACTCGGGCAGAGCTCCTGATGACCATGGGAGCCACCCCTTGCATCAGCATGACCTGGATGTGAAACATAGAGTGGAAGGAGATCATTGGGAAATATTTTCCTTACAAGAGGATAACAAGCTTAACTTTTATTTTGTTGATGTATTCTAATAATGAGGAAAGACGAGGGAAGTGAAAACCAAGAGCAATGTTGACCCTTCACAGATTCCAAGTTATTGCCTGAAGGGCTTTTTTGTCTTGCCTTCTTATAAGAGTGTTGTGAAAATAAGTTCCACGGTGTCATGCAGGAGAAGTCGCCAGATGACCCAAACTCTTCTTCTCTTTCCTGCTTATAATTCTCAAGAACAATTGTAGAATATGCTGGGAATGGAACACTCTGAGATAAAGAGAAACTGGCTGGAACAGCCCAGGCTGCTCTGTTTCCATCTTTCTTAGAACAGCAGAACTTGCAATGCTTTAGCCCAGAGTGTCAAGTCACCCTGGAAATAAAACACAGAGCAGAACATACTTTCAGAGTCTCTCAGTTACTGTGTGACATGGGGTGTGTGCAGATTAGACTCCACTGTCCTAGGCAACTTTCCTGAGCCCTGGTGGACTGGCTCACCATGAATCCTAGACTTCTGTTATCCATCACTGCCTATCTGTAAGTAATAACTTACTGTGTGGGTGTTCTCTGTCGCTGGACTTATGCAGGTGAATTGATATACATGCACAGTATTAGGAAGGAGTTTCGAGTCCTCTCCTGGGATTGATACTGGTCCACATGGAAACTGCTTTACATATTATATATTCTGAGATTAGGAAAATCATACTGACATGGTTTGTTGAATTGCATAACATGTATACTTGGCATAAACTCCTTCTGTTTGAGGATTTAAACTCATATGGTATTTTATTTATTTACTTTTCATCACTTCAGCCCTTAGTTGTTCTATTACCAAAAGACACAATTTCTTAGTCCTGTATAGTGGATTGTTTCTAAATGCAGAGGAGGCTTGGCGTGGTGGCTCACGCCTGTAATCCCAGCACTTTGGGAGGCCAAGGCAGGTGGATCATGTGAGGTCAAGAGTTTGAGACCAGCCTGGCCAATGTGGTAAAACCTGATATCTACTGAAAATACAAAAATTAGCTGGAGGTGGTGGTGCACCTGTAGTCCCAGCTATTTGGGAGGCTGAGGCTGGAGAATTGCTTGAACTCGGGAAGCAGAGGTTGCAGTGAGCTGAGATTGTGCCACTGCACTCCAGCCTGGGCAACAGAGTGAGACTCCATCTCAAAACAAAACAAAAAACCAAAACCATAAAGAAATACATACATACAGAAAAATAAATAAATGAAGAGGAGTATTAAAATGAAATCTGAATTATACTTGACCCTGTTCCAAATAAGGGGAGATGTGAAATCTGAGCCAGCTATTAGTGTGGTGTCTCATTCATGCTTGGTTCCTAGGTTTCACAATGACAAGATCACTTTTGCCGAATATCATGCTGTGCTGAACAAGCCCTCCCTTTGAAGTGCCCTGGCCTTTTGTTAGACATAGATCATCAAATTCAACCCCTTTCCCCTATCAATTTGCCTTGATTTAGGTGACACAATTCTCTTTAACAAGTCTTGAATTTCCAAAAGCATCAGATTTCTGAGATCCATATGCATTTTGATAACCTATATCCCAAACTGTAAGATCTGTATTGCCTGTGTCTTTGAAAGAGCCATTATCAGTAAGTCACTAAGCACTAAAGATTCTGCCTGTTTCTTATTTGATGTTATTTGTTTGTTTGTGTGACGTTACCTTTGCCTAACTAAAGAGGTGTTTCAGTTTATTCTTATGGACACAGAAAGCACAGACTGCTTTAAGTGATAGGATGATTCCACATTTGAATATAAAAAGGCTGGCATGCTAACTGACCCCTCAGCAGACATATCTTTGACAATCTTGATGTTACTCTGTAAAACATGTTCCTAAAGATCACATGTAACTGAAAAGAGTAATACCCTCTCAAAAGAATAAAATAATTTTTAAAATTGTTTTCATGTTTCTATTTGTGTATAATATATATTTATTATTAAAAAATAACAATGACACTTTACAGCTAAAAAAATTACCATGTCCTACCTTTTAAGCTAACTTCTTCACATGAGATCTACCAAATGTAGTTTAAATAAACATAAATTTTAAAAGTAAAATAATCTTCCAAAATTTATGTGAATTTATCAAGATGCTACAGTCACAAAGTAGTAGTGTGAACTAGAATACAAGTTTTCTGTAATTTAAAGTTGATGTGAAAGAAGTTTCATTAAAAATGCAAGTAAAATATATAAAAAATACAATACAGTAAGGTCTACATGTATCATTGCTAGCAATTGGCCATTTATTCAGTGTCTTTGAGGACATCATGCCTTTTAGTGCTAAATGGGATCACAAGAAAAGATTGATTGATGCTGAAGAATTCCTACCCATAACTAGGATGCACCCAAATCATCAGGACAAATAATTGTCATTCGGTATAGGCCAAATATTCAGGCTTTTGTCAGACTCATGGTTGTAAGAGGCTGAGCTATTAAAAACATCTATTTCTTTTACACAAAATATTACAATCTTTGAAAAATTAAATAATATGTGTTAAGTATATTCCACACTCTAAGATGTTTTCTAAATTTATGCAAAATAAAATAAACGGAAACTAATAAAGTGGTTAAGGGACTATACTTTGTTATTGTAAGATAGGTCTCAAGATAGTTCTATGTCTTTGTTTATGAGTAAACATGAGAAATACCTATTGCAGGTGAAGCAATGACAAATAAGGCCTCTCACAAAAATTTAACTAATTTTTAAAAAAGAATTGAAAAATGACTGTGCCTCAGGCCCAATTTGTATATTCTGAGTTTACATATTGTTTCTCTATCTATATCTATATAAGAGTTCATATATTCTAAGAGCTTACAGAAGCCTTTAAATCTGAAATGCAATAATGTGACATGAAAGTGATTTTTTTTTAGAAGTCCATTCATTTGGTATGTTATAGCATTATTTACACAGTCATATATTTCACAGGTCAAGTTAAAGCAGTTAGCTAAGATTAGTTATGCATTCACATTCATACATTTTTAATGAAGACAAGCGGTTTGGAAAATGCAAATTTATGCAAATAACATTCAAACTGAAGAATTGGGAAATATTTTCCTTATTGGCTTTTATGTCTTATTGTGGCCCTATTCTAAGAAATTAAGAAAGAAGACTATTCTGTGGTTTCCTTTAATTAGCAGAAGTTTTAAATAATTCTTTGTTGTTTTTAAAAAGAAGTTTTCTTATCTGTGTTTATTCTATTAACTTCTCAGTCAGTTATAATCTTGATTTTCCATTTTTCTCTCTCTTCTCATTTTGTCAAAAGTACATCCTTTGGGATAGGCCCTATTTAACTTAATGAAAACCCTAAAAAATATTTATAAATTTCCAACACACATATTACTTTAATGCTACAGTTTATACATTTGGTCACTCAGTTCTAAGCTCTCCTTTCAAGTGTTTGTTAGATTAAATAAAATTATGATTATGTTTTATTAAAAGAAAACAAGAACGGACTAGTAAGAAGTATGATGTGAAGAAGCAACTAAAATATGACTTTTTATAGAAATACAAATCTTTGTAAATTTTAATCACCATAGGGGCTAAAATAAAGCTGTATAGTACAATACAGTTTTTTCATATAGAAAAAACATATTACTATTCCTAAATGTTTATTGAAAGAAGAATCAATGGGGAGGAAGACCTCTGGAATGGCAGAGCAAGAAATTCCAAAAATATTCTCTTCCACAAAACTTGAAAGAAAGGCAAAAACCATAGTAAACAAATTTTTAGAACTCAAAAATTAAGTTTAAGAATTTTAGGAGTGTTCATTCAAAGGAAAAAAAAATGTGTGAATCTTGGAAACAACGGTGAGCTCTACGGTGTTCTAACTTGCACTTTTAGCTCCCTTTCTCCCAGTAAAGTAGTAGCCTTTAAAAAGCAAAGTGTAGGCCAGGTGCGGTGGCTCACACCTATAATTCCAGCACTTTGGGAGGCCAAAAGTGGCAGGCGGATCACAAGGTCAGGAGACCAAGACCATCCTGGCTAACACGGTGAAACCCCGTCTCTACTAAAAAAACAAAAAACAAAACAAAACAAAACAAAAAAATCAGCCGGGCGTGGCGGCGTGTGCCTGTAGTCCCAGCTACCCGGGAGGCTGAGGCAGGAGGATGGCGTGAACCCGGGAGGCAGAGCTTGCAGTGAGCCGAGATCGTGCCACTGCACTCCAGCCTGGGGGACAGAGAAAGACTCTGTCTCAAACAAAAACAAAAACAACAACAACAACAAAAAAACAGTGTAACAAATTTGATAGCTGTAAAGCAGTAGCTTAACAGCTGTTGAAAAGGACAGAATTTCAACCACTCATAAACCTCAGCCCCAGAATTGTCATTATTTGACCTGGAAGCTCACTGAAAGTCTTTGTTTCTCTTTATTTGACCTGAGTCAGAAATCAATCTATGTGGACAGTGTTATCCAGAAGGTGTCTGTCAAAAAAAAAAAAAAAAGATGAAACAAAAAATAGCATAATTATTTAACAATGCAGCTTCCTAAGGTGCCATTTCCACATGAAGCTGATAAGGGACTTATCTGAAAATGTAAAAGGGAAAACTGGGACATGAGAGGACAAGAGAGAGCTTCAAAAATCTCTAATATATTCTGAGAGTCTAGAAGTCATGCACATGTACAGTGCTAAAAAAATCCCCAAGAATGACCTAAGAAGGCCTTTTCACCTCTGGCTGAATTTAAGCCTTTGTATCTCAATAATTTTTTTGTCTAAAGGTTTTAAAACACCTGTTGAAATGGTGAAAGTATGCTCTGACACACGCAGAGAATTCCTCACCAAATACTAACTGCTATTTGACCTGCTGGTTTCAAGCATTTAAGGGACTGTGTAATCATTAAATTAATATCAAGCTAATTAAGCAAAGACTTCAGTGACTGCACACAACAAAACGTACTGATTTTATAGTAGTCCAGAAAAGTCATTAAATAATCAGAAACCACCACCATGACCACAACAACAAACAGCAGCAATGACAAACCGTGGGGAGAAGGACTTGCTTCCATGGGTTTTCATATTATATTACTTTAGTAGATGGAAAAGTAATTGCGGTTTTCTGCCATTAAAAGTAGTGACAAAAATTGCAATTACTTTAGCACCAACAAAATACTTAATATGTCTAGTTTTCAACAAAACACTGTAGGATACACAAAGAATCCGGAAAGTATGGCTCATACACAGGAAAAACAGTCAATAGGAACTACTCCTAATTATGTGCTGACATTGGACTTATGAGACAAAGACCTAAACAGTTATTAAAGATGTGTGTAAAAACCAGAAGAAATTATATCTAAAAAATTAAAGGAAGTAATAAGAACTATGTTTCACCAATAAAGAATATAAATAAATGGATAGAAATTATTTTGTATAAAGTACTAAATGGAAAGTCTAATGTTTAAATTCTGAAGTTTAAAGATGAAGTAACTGACATGAAAAATTCACTATAGTGGCTCAACAGAAGATTTAAACTTACAGCAGAAAGAATCCCCAAATAAGAAGAGAGATCAATTGAGATTATCTAGTTGGAGAAACAGAAAGAAGCAAGAATGAAATGAAAAGAAAACTCTCAGTGACTTGTGTGACACCATGAAGCTTACTAACATCTACTGAAAAGAGAAAAAGGGCAGGAAAATAGTTGAAAAAGTATAGCTGAAATTTTTTCAATTTCGATAAAAAACTTTCATCTACATCTAAAAAGCTTAATGAACCGAAGAGGATAAACTTGAAGAGACATAGGCCTAGACACAACAAAAATGAGACTCTCAAAAATGTGATTCTTGGAAGTAGTAAGACAGAAAAATAACGTGTATGAATTTTCTCTCAATAAATCTGTTATTTAAAAAAGAACCAATGAATATGTAGAAGAGATGAATGAATGATGAACCAATAAATGTGAATATGTACAAGAGGTCATAAAAATAGAAAACTTAAAGAAAAAGGGAAGGAAAATTACTTGTGAAAATTTTACACATTAATGATTTTTTTTTAGTATCCAAGAATGTTATTTTCAGTGAGTAGATCAATCAAAGAATTACCAAAGCATTAATCAGTTCAACTGATATTCAAGAATTTCTGAATTTACTCTAGTCTACTTTGGCTTTCTGGAGGCATTTATTTAATTTACTCTTGCATAATATCTTACTCAATTAGGTACTTCCGTGGGTTCCTTGAAGATTGCTCAGAAAGAGGCAAAAAGGAATGAAAAGCAAGTAACATGTTTGGAAATAAATGGACAGAAAATGTATTTCTTTTAGAAAAGTGGACTAAAAATGGAAAAATGCATTGAGCTTCAAGAATTTTTTTCTATTACCTTATGGTATGCTATTTTTCACTGTAAAAAGGTTTTGAATTAGGCTCCAATATCATAAATGGCAAGAGATCCTCTTTCAGAAGTACTTGGGAGCTTTACAACATGGAAATGGACTCTAAACATAATATTTAGAAAATAGTTGCTTTCTTCAAAATGGGACAAAAATACATCTATTTTTTAAAGGCACACTGCATTAGAAGTTCTCACATTTTAGTATGAGAAAATCTCCTTTTACAACTATATGTTCTAGTGGCCTTGAGGCACAAAAACGAGAGGCTATTCTACATATTGAATAAATGGCCAATTCTTAAGATATCTTTGACAATTCAGTGGACATGCACAATGAAAACTGTATTTTAAATCTTTTTTGGACAATTTCATTTCCATGAAAAATAGAATGAAGCTATATCTTTGTTCAGTGTTATTGTGAACACTAAAATCCTGGGCACGGAGACCGCAATAATATTACAGAAATAGACAGTGACTCAAGACCAGACAATTTTAACATCAGACTCCAGTGAGCCTAAAAACCCATAGATGAAAATAAAATGATAAGTATATGTATTTCTTAAATGTATGTATTTTAAGTAGCAAAGTCTTTCCAGAATATTAAATTGACTTGATATCTAAATATTCATTTTTAGAAGGACCGAAAAGCTGATTACTTTCTACCCATTGGAAAAATGTGTATGCTTTTAAAAACAATCCATATATTTTCTGATGTTGATTTTTTCTCCATTAGAGGATGATTTTGAGGCCTTTTCTCAAGAAGATGTTTTTAATTAACCATTTGGGCTACATTAGCTAAGGTAGAATTCATACCCACCATTCAAGAGCTTTATGAGTTAGATGTTTATGCATAGCAAGTCACCCAAGTGTAACGTCTCTGTCATTGGAGGTATTTTGCAGCATGGCTAACACACCAAGATTAAAATTATTAACGAATCCAGGACTCGCTATGGTGCCTTTTCAAGAAAAAGGTGACACAAATAAATGTAATCACTGAAAATGTTATTAACAATTTGCATGAGTAGATATATATTTTTAATGTTTATATGTTGAGTACTTAAAATTAATATGAATAATTCTGATTTGTTCATTACAAGATCTTACTCTTGCTTCCAAAAAATTCTCTCTGCTTTCAGTTTTTTCATATGTAAAAGAATATTAAGATAAGTAATTCATAATGTTATCTTATTAATTGCACTGAAAGTTCATTAAAGGTCCGTATTCTTATCTGGAAAATAGAACATAAACATACATTTTCATACACAATTTGAAAAGAATCACAGGTCTCAGTGTAAGAATTCGAGAACTATATGGTCTTTACAGCCTCTTTATTATAAATTAATATCATTCTAAGCACTCTACCATTGTATTCAGAACACATAAATATCAACACACTTGTGGGTTCCCAAATCTGTAAAGGTACATTATTATTTTGTTTGCATTGTGGCAGTTTTCCTGTAGGTTTTTTTTCACTAATAATTCGAGAAAAAAGAATAGCTTCAGCAGTAAAGTCATTCAGTTATATAACTGAAACATCATTCCACTAGGTTCTAATATAGGAATACCTATACTTTTCTTTATCAAGTATTTCCTAGTTGTGTGATCTTAGATAAATTAATGTTATATATTTTATATATTTTATAAAAGAGTTGTTTTTTTATTAGTAAGCTAATGTGTGTGAAGCCCTTAAAGTAATTTCTGTCAAATAGTAAGCACACTATAAATTTAACTATTATTTTATTATCTATTCTTTACAAATCAGTAATACGTATTGTACACGTATTAGTTTGTAGTCTTATAGTACAGTTTTCAGTGGCTAATAATAGCCTTCATGAGAGGTTTTATTATGTTTATTTTTGTCTAGTTTTACTTGGTTTAGTAGTTGAATCAATGCCTGATTTGGGGCTGCCATACTTTTTAGACACAGAATTTCTAAGACTCTTAAATTATGTGTTTGTTTTGTATCTGTTCACACTTGTTCAATATAAACATATTGAAAGTGAATTTCTATGAATTAACTCCAAAAAGCAATGAAAAATTTTAAATACAATCTGTCTCAAGAAATGCTCATGGCCAGTAATTTGTGAAATATGAAAAGGAAAGAGGATGGGAAACAGTTGTTTCCTTCCATGTAGTTCTTCCACTTATATATACACATGGTCTCAGTGACCACTAGATACTCACCACTCCTTCCCTAGCTCTTTGCTCTGACAATCACCATTAATTACATATGAGATGATAATTAAATTTTTCCTTAAGTTTTGGCTTTCTCTTACTCCAGCTTCATAAGTTAATACTACCGTGCTTCTAATGCAAGAAAAAGAAGCATCAACATGCTAGTGTGCTTATATATTCTTTTTTTCTTTTCTTTTTTTTTTTTTAGACGAAGTCTTGTTCTGTTACCCTGCCTGAAGTATGGTGGTACGGTCATAGCTCACTGCATCTTCAAACTCCTGGATTCAAGCAATCTTATCACCTCAGCCTCATCAGTAGCTAGGACTACAGGCATGCATCACCATGCCCAGCTAAGTTTTAATTTTTGTAAAGACAAGTTCTCCCTATGTTGCCTAGGTTTATTTAGTCTCATACTAACAGTTCACAGGTTACTTGGAAGTCATTTATTTAAATTTAAATAAGTACTACTTTAGTCATTCTAGTCTTGGTACAGTTCTAATTGTTACAATGATGACCATCATATGAGATTGGTAGGCTGCTAATCATTTTACTTGTCATGAACTATGATAATGAAAGTCAAGAAGGCAGTGATAATCACAAACTTGGAGTGCCTGGCATTTTAATGGTCTAAAATTTAAACTACATGGAAAGTAAATTAATAGCCTGGAATGTACTAATTTTTGGTTTTGAAAAATGAAAGAGAATATAAGATATAAAGTAGCATGAAATTTGTCTCCCTGGTTTAAGAAATGCATTGACCTACAAAAATAGCTGCTTTATATTAAAACATTATGTGACACAACTGGTGCTGTGAAAATACTGACACATTTTTATACAAAGTGAAGAGAAGATATTATTTTGGAGTTGTACTTCTGCACACTGAGGATTTTTATGATATGATTTAAACTGTAATTGCTTATATTAAATAAAACTTGACTTGCTGAGAAAGTTCAATATATATAATTTGACACTTTACACTTCTTTGCAGGATCTCAAATCCATGCAAATTTCATGGGTAAGTGAGCAGTCTTAATCAAGACTTGTTTAATTTGCCAGCAAAAAAATGACTAATCATTTTATTTTAGTGCTTTTTAGAGAGTAATTTTTTCCAGTAATGTGGCTCCTACATAAAATATTATTTATAGGATCTATTGAATGTCATATGCAACTTCCTCATCATTTAGAATACATAGAAAATTGTGTTCATCTTTCAATAATTGCAGATTTCCTTTGATTTACTTATGTTAATTTAGAAAAGCAGATCAGTAATCAATAGATAATGTGAATTGATACTTTGTTCTCCAATTATATTATATATTACTGAATTCTGACTTTCCGCATGGGGTGTCCCTGCCCCAAGCCAATGCCTGTGCTTATCAATCAGGTCTGACACATGTTATAAGCAAAGGAAGCGCTTCCCCATTTCCTGCCCCTTGAGTGAATGACTATCTTCTGATGCACCACCCACTGGCTTTTTTAGAGGAGTTCAGGAATGAAAGAGGAGGAGAAAAGGGAAGAGGAAAAAAGAGAAATAAACTTTATATTTAAAATACCATCTAGAAGAACTATTTTCCATACCTTCCCGCTTCTGAAAAAAATACTTTTATTAATTCCTAAGGTACTTTCGCATGAAGAGCAGTTCCTGACTTAAACTACCCTGAACTATGATGCTTAAATTTATGATGATTTTTATGAGCTTTAAGACGTCAGTGATGACGATCTAGTATCCCACAGGGGAAGCACTCTATTACCACTTGTTATTTGGCACAAGTAATATGCAGTCAAATGTGTTTCACATGTGTTTCTTTACACATTTTAAAATAGGCATGGAGCATATTAAAGAGAGAAGTTTCAGGGCCAGAAAAAAAAATATGCTTTGACTGCTTTCAGACAAGGATACATGGCATCATAAAATATATCAAAGGAAAAATGAAAAAGCAAATAAAATGTGTACTGAATCCCAATATTTTGGCTCTTTTTTAACTCCAATATTTGTTAAGATTCTAATTTGGAGTGTAGCTCTTGATACACTTACTGGTGGGAAGAAATTACAAGAAGATAAAAAATCAAGCTCCAAATCCTCACCTTGGTCCCATACTTTTTTATGTTCATGTGTTTAAGGCAGAGAGAACGATGTAGATCGAGGCTTCAAATTTGCTAATAATCTAAGTTGATTTTTACCAATGACATATAGGGTCTTTCTAAATGAGAAAATGAGAACATGCAGGTTCTCTGTTACCTATGCTTACTATTTAAAAGTAATGCTACCTCTACAAGATACTCTGTTTAGTGCTAATTTTGTAGATATTTGCTTTACTATTTTACTACTGTGTTTATAAAAGCAAATTTTTCTTTCAAAACAAAATAACATGCTTCAAAAATTATAAGGGAAGGGAAAAATTAAGACCCAGTTCTCAGTATGCATTTTTTATTTGGAAAACTAGACTCTTTTCTGAGGCAAAAATGTAAAATTTTATTTGTTTTACAGTTTTTCTTCATACGTTTTAGCTACTTTACTTGTAGGATATATGATTCAAGGCCTGCTAGAGCAAACTCCATCTTTTAATGAAACGATTATTTTGTGAAAATATATAAATACCAAATTATTTCTACTATCAAAGTTAGGAATTAATATATTTCCATTCAACTTTTGAAAATTGTAATGTGTTATCCAGTAGAGGCAATCTATATCTCTTTTCACTTTGAGTTAATAATGTTTTGTAGACTTCCTCTAAGAAGTTGGTTAATGCTTTCTCAAGCAGGAATTTATCTATTCAGCTATTCATTTGACCATTAGTAACATTTACTAAACATTTACTGTGCATTCCGCATTGCACCGGAATGCTCAGTCCTTTTCTAAGGAGAAACATAGCCTATAAACCAGAAAAAATAAAACCTCAACAAATAATTTCACCTACAGGACAGTGAGATAGGTGTTTTAGTAAGGGAGTCAGGTGGATCTGAACACAGTGGTAGAATACTGGTTACATGTGGGGTTTTCCAGGTGATTTGCAGGTTTTCATTTAATTGAAATCCCTGTCATGGAATGCAAGACCTCAACTAGAGCATCTAAATTATTGTATATACTTAGGAGGAAATGGGCTACATTCGAGGCCATATCTAAGGTTGATAAATTATTTAAATAAAATAAACCTAAGTGAATCCTTATTGTCATTCTGATTATAAATCTACCATCTCCTAGTATATAATTTTTCAAGAATATTCTAAAGCACAGGCAATATTTTAAAAATACTTTTAATCAAAGGAACTGGCATAGGTAGCTGCACATAAATTTAAATATATAGATATAATTGTCTAACTTATAATTACAACCAATTTGTCATTAGTTGCAAATCATTTTCCGTCACAAAATATATTGAAGACAGTACTCTTTCATTGAAGAGATAATCTTCCTTCTTCAATTTGTTCATGTTAAAAATAAATGGTGAAACTCTTCGAGGATTTTTGTTTGTTTTTCTTCTGTAACCGAGAAGAGCAAATAGAGTGAAAGTCAGAAAAGCAAGACAGAATTACATGCAAGAGATATTTTGTGAAAGTCTCTTAAAAGAGAAAATGGTTCTAAGTTGAACAAACCACCTCATTATTATGCTTTACAATATTCCATTGAAAGCCAGCACATTAGCAAAGAAAGGGAATTGCCAAGGACAACAAGGAAACATTAGGGAAAAATATAATTAAAGATAAAGTAGGCTACATGTTATTATAAATATCTATTACAGCCAGCAACATGGCTCTATAGTGTCTTTTTTTAAAAGTTGATTCATAAGCACAAATCAATCATACAGAAAATTAATGGAATGAAAAGGTTATCTTCTTTCTACTCAATTGATTTCAGCATGAAATAATAGCCAATATTAAACTATCACAAAAGAACAGAAAATTAACCATCCTCAGATTAGCATGAATCGCAACTAGGTGAAAGCTGTGATTTAAACTAACAATATTTGAACTAAAAGATATGAATTAAATAATGTATTTGACCTAAAAATAACATATATATGCAGAATCAATCACATATTTTTATCACATCCTACGTATTTTGAGTAAGCCTGTAGTTATATATTTTTGCATGAAGCTATATGCCTTATATTTGTATTTCTGTAATAGTTTTATTTATATGCAACTTTGAAAGCCTCATTTCCTTTTATTGGTTGTGAAAAGAGATCTCTACTTGCCAAAAGAAAGCATAAGTGATGTTACATAATTGACTTTTAGTACATTATTGTGGCTATAAAGTTGTATGCATAAATGTGTGACTTTAAAGAACAGGGACATTATAGTTGAGGCACGAGATGTGTTGTATTTTGAAACTGTGTCCCTTTTATTATTGTCAACATGGAACATATGTGTTTTTGTACTTCATATTTTTAATTAAAATATTCCTGGCTAGATGCTAAATTGTATTCTTATGTTTTTGACAGTATGTACATGGGAAAATCCAATATAATAATATACTGGCTACTTATATATCCCAAAAGCTCAAAAGTAATAACAGTTTTGAGATTTGAATCCATGCTACTCAGCTGAGTTAAACATTTACTTGCCTTAAAACTGAGTTTTTGCTACATTGGATATGAGGCATTTTAAAATTTCACATATATTTTTATAATCCATTCTGTTGGCCAGAAACTTACAAATCATTGTACAATGGATTGTACACTTTTCCAAAATGATATTCAGCAACTAGAATATTCATAAAATACTTGTGCTGAAATTTAGGTTACTACACCCTTGGAAATATTAGCTTTGGGGTAGTTCTAAAAGTCACTCTGATGCTAATTTGATTGAAAGTAATTCACTTTACATTATTTTGATAACATACAATGTATAGCCTTTCAAACCCTACAGAAAAAAAGAAAGCTAACCTATTAGGAGCTAATGGTTCAGAATATAACATCCATTTTTTATGGATGATCAAGGTAGGTTAAACACAGAAAAATAAAAAGTTTGAAGTCATGGAATACATTACAAGAATGCAGTTATATAAACCTAAAAAGGTATCCATATTTATTGCAAGATTTAGTAAATGCTTGATTTTACTAATGTTCTTCATAAATCTCCTAAATATTTTGGAGCATATCATATGACTCTCCATCTTAGATCTCTTTACAAAATGAGAGCTGGGTGTGGTGGCAGTTGTCTGTTGTCCCAGCTACTTTGGAGGCTGAGGCATGAGGATCCCTTTAGCTCAAGGGAATCAGACCAGCTTGGACAATATGGTGAGACTTCATCTCTAAAAATAAATAAATAAATGAGATACTCATGTAAAATACCTTTGTAAGTAATTAAAAGTTCAAAGACAAAACTATTAATATTCGAGCCCTCTTATCTGACTTGACTGAAATGTTTTTGTTTTATTTATTTGTTTGTCCATCCTGTTCATGTAGTTAGTTTACGGATAAAACTACACATTGCAGTGCTTTTCAAGAAAACAATCGCCAATTTTCACTCTAAATGCTAAACATTTCATTCCTCTTCTATGTTCAGAGACAATATTTGTTCTTATCCATCCTATTCTGAAATGGACTTTTCAAAAATATATAGTATGGTTATGCTAAACAAATGAAATACCTGAGAATAGTAGTCTTTAGTGTGACTACTAATGACTCTTACCTTCAACAACTCAATTTTTATGACTCTTGAATCATATGGCCAACTTCTAAAAATGTTTCTTCCAATTTCCATTTCACTGATAATGTATTGAACATTAGCATTCCTAATCATGCCAAAGTGATGAATGAACTAATTTTTCTTTGAAAATTTACTTTGCAGTTTCTTTCATTAGTAGTCATTTTTTATATTTGTTTTTTATTTTACTCTTATTTATAGGTTTGTGTCTTTGACCACACATTTTATTATAGTACGTCTTTTCTTATTGACTGGAAGGAGTTCATGCACTAAATTTTTAAAAATCTTACAAGAGAAGCTAGTTTTCTCTTGGCTCCTGGGTGCAATTCAAGGACTTATATTTGTATTACTAAAGCAAATGTGGTAAGGGTTTCTTTAAAACAAAACTTCAGATCCTGTCTGGGTATTTTGTTGACTGGGTGGCAAATATTTTGCCAAATTATTGATACATAGCTGTTGCTTACTATGCGATTTTTAGATATTAAGATATCGGTGTATTCAATATATCCATAAATTGTACAAATAAATGAATACATTTATTCTTAATTATGCATTTTTAATCATAATTTTGTACAGTGGGTGGTTTTCTTACTGTCAGTCAATATTCAGTTATTGAATATAACCCAGATAATAAACATTCATTTTATTTAGAGACTTGCTAGTAACCTAAGACTTGTCTAATTTCTCTCTGCTTTACTCTCATATACTAGGAAAGATCCAGGAAAAATTATAAAGTTACTGTAAAGATCAAATTTTCTTGATATTCCAGGAAAATTCTGGTTTGTATCTTCTGTAAGTTAATTAATCTTGTGAGTAATGTTTATAGTTCATTTCACTGTCAAAAGTTTCCCTGCTAGGATTATAATTTGAGATCATAAATTTAATAGGAAAATATAGTTATCTTACAGTGAGAGAGGTAAATTAATAGGATTTATTATACAGGAAGATCCTTCTGATTATACAGCAAACAATAGATTAGATCATAGCTTGAGCAAGGACCAGGACCAAAAACAACAATCCTCAAGAAGCTATTAAGATAACCTCTAAGAAAGAAAATGGTAAATTAAGCAAGTATGAACACTGTAGAAAAATAAATTTTAAAAAATTAAACGATATTAATGAGTAAAAAAAATTAAAAATTATCTGAGTTTGGTATGAGTGAGCTAGAGTAGTAAAAAATCACTTCTTTTATTTATTTATTTATTTTTGCTTCTGCCATCGGTCAATGGTGTAGGGAACAAAAAAGGGAAGTGATTTGTTGCAGACATAGATAAATCATGGACGAGCTGATGTCAAGACCTTTGATACATGAAGGTGAAAAGGCGGGTCCTAGAACTCAGAAAGGATATCTACAACCATCTACTCTTTGACAGTTAAGAATAAAAAATAATGGGGAAAGGACTCCCTATTATATAATTGGTGCTGGAATAACGGGCTAGCCATATGTGGAAGATTGAAACTGGCCCCCTTCCTTACACCATATACAAAAATCAACTCAAGATAGATTTAAGACTTAAACGTATAAATCTAAAACTATAAAAACCCTAGAAGAAAACCTAGGAAATACCATTCTGGAGATAGACCTTGGCAAAGATTTGATCACGAAGCCTCCATAAGCAATCATGACAAAAACAAAAATAGAAAGGTGGGACCTCATTAAACTAAAGAGCTTCTGCACATTAAATAAACAATCAACAGAGTAAACAGACAACCTACAGAATGAGAGAAAATATTTGCAAATTATGCACTTGACAAAAGTCTAATATTCAAAATCTATAAGGAACTAAAACAAATCAACATGTAACAGACAACTCCATTAAAAACTGAGCAAAGGAAATGAACAGACACTTCTCAAAAGAAGATATACACATGGTCAGCAAGCATATAAAAACGCCCAACACTACTAATCACTGGAGAAATGCAAATCAAAACAGCCTGAGATATCATCTCACACAATGCTCAAGAAACCACCACGAGCATGCTGCATGGTCACAGACGTGGGTCTGTAAAAAAAAGGCAGTGAAAACATTGTCTCAATGCAGCCTTCAGGAAAACAAACAGTCTATCTAAATGAGAATAAACGAAGGCTATTGAATCAGCCACCATCACCATACAGCATGCACATGGTGGTTTCTTGTGTATTGCTGCTAATCGTTTATTGAATCTGTGCTGGCGTAGTAACTCAGCATCAGGTCCAAGATCTGTTCTCCTGGTGTTGAGTTCCTTAGCTATTTATTTGCAGTTTGGTACCCAGATTTCAATATTGGTTCCCCTTTATTTAACATCGTTGGTGGAGATGTGCTGTACCTTTCATTCTTTTCTGCTTTTTCTAATTATACCTCTGTTTTGTATTGTGTTGCTTAAATGTACTGATTTTCATAAGAAGAATAGTCACAAGGTAGAACACGGCCATAGCTCCTATAAATCTGGCTTTTGAACAGGCCTCACAAACCAGTATGTTTACAGTTCCTACCAGATCAGCCTTCATCTGGAAATTGTGGTGTGTCACCAATAAAAATAGATAAGATTCTCCTTCCATCTTGATTTTTGTCTCCCAAGAGCTTGGCTTTGATCCAGAGACTGCAATCACAGTCTTCTGTGTTCACAATCCAGAAGACTGCAATCCACAGACTTCTGTGTTCACAAAAGAAAAATATTCAGTAGGGAGCCTGAGGCACAAGCTGCAAAGGCATCATTTTAACCAACTGTTGACATCTTTCTTGGGGTTATCTAATTCTAATTCTTCTCCCAGAAAAAAAACTCCTGTTTGTTATATGAATCCTCTTTAAAATAAAAATTCCTGTCCTTATTTCTCTAAATGGCATCATTTCACCAAAGATGATTTGTGCCTTCAATGGCCCTCCTAGGACACATTTGACTTAAAAAGTATTATTCCTTTTAAGAGGCCTTACCAAATACAGTAAGATTTCTCAGGCTTCATAGAACATTTTCTATTGGTATTCAAAGACCTCTAAACAAAACTCTGATTCAACAATTACTTCTCTAAAAAATAATATGGGAAAAGTTAATGAACCATTTACCAACTAGAAATTAGCAAAATAAGGAAAATAAAGTAGAACTGATTTTATAAAATAGAATATTACCACATGTAAGAAACTTCAAACATTTGTTATATATCAGGAGTAGACTGTAATTATACAATAGCCAAAAGATGGGCTGGGAACCATCAAAGGTTATTTAATGTCATTATTATAGGTAAGGAATTTTATCCTTGTTACCCTTAAAGGCCATTGAAGGGCTATAAGCAGATAGTGTCATGTTAAAGAATGCCCTATAACATTGAAAGAAATATCAAAACTGGGGAATGAATGTTCTTAATTAATGAATGCAAGATTAAATATAAGTTTAGAGTTTGTTGCATGAGAGAGATGAGAGCCAGAGTTGGTAATAAAGATGAGGGTGTGGGAACATACATTTAAGAGATACTACTAAGATGTTATCAAATGAAAGTGAAATAAGGCTGGGTGTGGTGGCTCATGCCTGTAATCCCAGAACTTTGGGAGGCCGAGGTGGGTGGATCACCTGAGGTCAGGAGTTCAAGACCAGCCTGCCAGCCTGGCCAACATGGCAAAACCCCCATCTCTACTAAAAATACAAAAATTAGCCAGGCATGGTGGTGTGTGCCTGTAGTGCCAGCTACTCAGGAGGCTGAGGCAGGAGAATCATTTGAACCCAGAACCCAGGAGGCAGAGGTAGCAGTGAGCAGAGATTGTGCCACTGCACTCTAGCTTGGGCAACAGACCAAGACTCCATCTCAAAAAAAAAAAAAAAAAGAAAAGAAAAAGAAAGTGAATTAAATATATCAATAATGATTTGTGTCAACACATCTTTATCAAGTAAGAAATATAAGAATAAAAACAGATTGTGGAAATTTAAAAGAAAAGTTTAATTTGTAAATTGCTTATATGTGTTGACCAATGGACCAGGGCTTAAATAAGAGATGTTTTAAAAATCTGAAGAGAGATTTTAAAATCACCACTGTAACAGTTTGTAGTTGGAGACATTGAAGTAGATAATGTCATTCAGATAAAATCACCCAGAATATGTATGGATACATTTTTGGACAACAGAGGTCTGAGAGTTAACCTGAAGATCAACCTATAAAAGATGGTTATTCAGAAAAAGATAAATGATGAAGAAAAGAAGGTATTAAATAACCTGGGAAAGAGCATCCACAGAAGAAAGCTGAGTCCAAGTGGAATCACTGGAGTCAACAGGAAGTCAACCTTGAGAAAAAGAGAAGGTTGAACATTGCCAAATGCTACAGAAAGAATTAAGATAAGAATTTAGCAAAAAGGATATCACTGATGATATTTGTGGGCTCCTCTTCAGTGGAGTAATGAGAGTGAAGGCCAGATTATAATCAACTGAGAAGTACCTGTCACAGGTAAGCAGAAACAGCAAATAGAACTTAATTCTATAAAGAGGCTTGACAAAACAGCAAATAAATTGGATGCCTGAAAAGGGAATTTTTGGCCGGGCACGGTGGCTCATGCCTGTAATCCCAGCACTTTGGGAGGCTGAGTCGGGCGGATCATAAGGTCAAGAGATCGAGACTATCCTGGTCAACATGGTGAAACCCCGTCTCTACTAAAAATACAAAAGCTAGCTTGGCATGGTGGTGCACGCCTGTAGTCCCAGCTACTAAGGAGGCTGAGGCAGAAGAATTGCTTGAACCCGGGAGGCAGAGGTTGCAGTGAGCAGAGATCATGCCATTGCACTCCAGCCTGTGCAATGGAGTGAGATTCCGTCTCAAAAAAAAAATAAAATAAATAAAATAAAATAAAGGGAATTTTTAGTAATAAATTTACCATCTACTAATAAAATGGTGTATTATACAGATTTAAAACTTATACTGCATAAGGTTATTTAGCAACATGTAATTAAGTTAAAATATATTAATAAGGAAAAAGCAGATTGATATTAGATATATATTTCCAACTATAAGAGATAAAATAAGTCTGTGATTTTACCAGAAAATGTTATTAAGCAGTATTGTCTCTATGGTGAGAAATACTTTTTTAAAATATTCATTTAAGTATTTTCAAAACTGCATGATGAGCATGTATTACTTTTTAAACAGTAATAAAAATCAAAGCAACACAGTATGTTTAACAGTGAGGGAAATAATTATTCTTTCTCCTATTTTTAATAGAAAAAATGTATTGTTACTGAAGTAAAATTTACATGTAAATGTTCATTTTGATGTTATGACAGCTTTTCAAAAAACCTGAAACAGAATACAGAATATTTTCATCACCCAAGAAATTTCCTGCTTTCCACTCCATTCCCCATTCAACCAGAGGTAGGTAACACCATAGATTAAATTTTGACTGTTTTTTGACTTATAGAAATGAAATAATCAATTATGTATTTTTCTGTGTCTGCCTTCTTCTGATCAACATAATGCTTTTGAGATTCACTTATCCTGTTACCTGTAAAAATATCAACATTTGAATATCCATTCTTCTGTGGATAGATATTTGGGTGGTTTCCAATGTTTGGCTATTATGATTAAGGCGGCTATGAATATGCTCATTGATTATTTTAGATAAACAAAAGTTTCTCAAAGTTGATATAAAATTTTACACTCAGTGATATCTGAGAGTTCCAACTGTGCCCTGTTTGTGACAACATATGGTACCATCTTTTTGTATTTGTTTGTAGTCATTATAGTGTTTTCAGTTTTCATTTCACTAAAAACTAAAACCTCAGAAAAGTTTTCATGTGTACTATCTATGATGAGTTAGCTAGTTCATGTATTTATTATAGATTTGGAGATTTTAAAAATGTATTATATATACCAGTCATTTTTGGGATACATGAATTACAGATTATTTTTTGATCATCTATAATTTGCATTTTCCTTTCCTCATGATGTATTTTTATTAGCAGTTGCATTTTATTTTTATAAAATCTAATTAATGTTTTTTATTATTAGATTGTCCTGTGTAAAAACTCTTGTCTTACTAAAATTGTGAAGATAGTTTTTCCATAGACGATTTATGGTTCTAAGATAGCCTTTTAAGTTTATGATCCATCTTGAATTAATATTTTTTTTTTAGGTTAAGTAGAGATTAAACTTATTTTTTTCTTATGACCGTGGAGCTATTCAAACACCATTTGTTAAAAAAAAGGTATTTCATTCTCTCATTTAATTGTCCTGATGCCATAATCCAAAATCAATTAATGATATATGACCAGATTTATTTCTGGAATCCCAATTATCTTCCATTTATCTATTTAGTCTTCTGTCATATCACACTATCTTGATTAATATATTATTCTTATATCTTTGTAAGTCTTCTGAATGTGTTTTTAAAATTTTTTTCAGGATTGTTTTGGCTATTTCAGATCCTTTGCTTCTCTAACAGGTTTAGCAAAAGCAAGTAAGTTTCTTGACAAAGAATGCATTTGATTTGGAATGCATTGAATCTGCAGGACAATTTGAAGATAACCAAAATATTATTGTCAATTTTTTAATCTATGAATGCTTATTTTTCTATTAGTTTTGCCACTATTTATCTCAGTATTATTTTGTGGTTTCCACTAATTCTGGTAATTTTCCACATACAGAAAGTGCACGTTTTCCAATTGATTTATTATTAGGTATTAGTTGTTTTTCACTAGATTTTTAATGATATTTTGGTATATATACATATGTATTGCACATAAATGTTATATACATAATTTAGTATATAATATATTCAATATAATATATAATAAATTACATATAATTAGCATATATGTCATGTTTCAATGGTTTGATATATTTGTTTGAATGTTATATATATGTCCATAATTTTATATTACGTGCAAAATTTTCTACCAAGTACACTTACAATGAGCAGCATAAAAACTGACATCACAGCAGAATAACAAGTTAATAGAAAACAACAACAAAAAAGAGTTGCCTCGAGGAAGTAAGAAAATACTTCAAACAAGAAGAGGACCTGAGAGTGGACCAAATGCTTACATATTGCTGTCAAACGCAATCTAAGTCTTCTTAGCTGTAACTGGGTATTCATTTTTAAGTTCCTGCTGTGTGTAAGATGTTACACTGAATTCTTGTATTAACCTACAACACAGGCTTAGTTGCTAACCATACCTGATAAACATGATCTGACATCCAGGACCTAACCCTGACAAGATTTGATTTATAGCAGCTGTCTTTGTTACCTGATGAGCATCAGTTTTGCCCAGACTAGGACAACTTAGACAGCCTGGTCAGCAAAAGTTTCAACATGCTCTTTTTTTCTTTTTTATATTCTTTTCATTTTCTTTCATTATTAAAATATGAATAAAATTAATATGTGAATACTTGTAAGCAATTATAAGAAAATTGTATCCTGTTTCGGTCTTTTTAAATATAGGATTTTTAGTTATTTCTTGCAATTGAGAGTATGTATTTTGTTTTATGTTGTCTTTAATTTTTATTTCCTTGAGATAATTTTTGTCTTTGTACAAAAAAAACTATAGTTTGATACTCATTATTTATTTTTTACATATATTCCAGTGTCTGATACTAATAAATTTGCTGATATATATACATATATATGTGTGTGTGGATATATGTATGTATGTGTGTGGATATGTGTGTGTCTGGATATATGTATGTATGTGTGTGGATATGTTTGTGTTGTGCACACACACACACACAGACACATATCCACACATGTACATACATGTCACATTCATCTAATTTGTGTTAGTCAGATTTCATACAAGGATACTAGGATGCAAGATTGTAAAGACAGTTTGCAACTATTTAATTTAAAAGGTCTTATGATTAAGATCTTGAAAGCACAGGTAACAAAAGCAAAAATACACAGATGTGATTATATCAAACTACAGAGCTTCTGCACAACAAAGAAAAGAAACAACAGCAACAGAGTGAAAAGAAATTTTGCAAAACGGGGAAAATGTTTGCTAACTATTCATTTGGCAGAGACTATATCCATAGTATACAGGGAACTCTAACGTCTTAACAGTAAAAAAAAAAAAAATCGAATTAAAAATCGCCAAATGATCTCAACAGACGTTTCTCAAAAGAGGACTTACAAATGGCCCAACAAGTGTCTAAAAAATGCTCAACATCGCTATTCATCAGGGAAATGCAAATTAAAGTCACAATGAGGTATCATCTCATTTTAGTTAGGATAGTTATTATCAAAAAGCCAAAAAATTACAGATGCTGGCAAGGTTGCAAAGAAAAGAGAACTTTTCTGTACTAGATTTGTGTATGTCTTTTAAACAGTTCTAGTTTCACTTAACACAGAATAATCAGGAAAAGTGTAAAAATTCAAAAGTTAAATAAAAATTTTATCAGTTAGTTGCCTGTGGGGGAAACCATGTAAGCTAGTACAGCCACAGTGGAGAAAAATATAGAGGTTCCTAAAAAAAAAAATAGAACTACCATATGATACAGCAATCCCACTACTGACATTTATCCAAAAGAAAGGAGCTCATGATATTAATACAGCCACAGTGGAGAAAAATATAGAGGTTCCTTAAAAAAAAAAATAGAACTACCATATGATACAGCAATCCCACTACTGACATTTATCCAAAAGAAAGGAGCTCATTATATTAAAGAGACATCTGCACCCCTATATTTATTGCAGCACAATTCCAATAGCCAAAGTATGGTTCCTTACCTAATGCTGTTTATATACGTTTTTACAGTTTGTCTTTCAAAAATGTCTGCAAACAAATGAGTTATAAAAACCTGACAACAACCATATTAAGTCTGTTGAAAAACTTGGGAATCACAAGCCTATTTCTACATGAGTTTTTTGGAATCCTCTTAGCTCAAGTTCTGGTTTTCTCTCATTATCAATAGTTGACAAGCTTTGTATACATTAATGAAGGCATTTTGTTAAATAACTCATTTTAAAGGCAAAATTCAACTCCTTCTATGGACAATTTAATTTCTTCTATTATCACATCATTTGGGGAAACAGTTTAAAATCCTTATTAAATCTTTTCTCATCTAGATTACATTTAATTATGTTTATACACCTACACAACCTTTGTTGCATCATATAGTGATGATACTGGAAGAATTTCCAGTAATACGATAGGCCAATTTTAATTATTTTCCTTCTGCTCTCCTAGATTTAGACTGAGCTTCTCACAATAGCCATGAAAAAATATTTCTTACATTTGATATTTTATCCTTACTCATTTAGGACATTCTCCAAAATAATCCTGCTTCCTCTAATCACAATGGTAATACTTTCTCTTACAGCTTGCCTCAAAAGTTTTACTTCTTCATACCAAAGTTACAGAGTTACACCAGCATCAAATTCTCCCCATTTTCCCCAAATTACCTCCAACTTTTTATTTTAAAATCAATATTAATTTTATTAAAGTTAGAAGATTAAAAAAAAGATATCTTCACTTTTTCTTTTTCTTTTCTTTTTTTTTTTTTTTTGTGTGTGTGTGAGACGGAGTCTCGCTCTGTTGTCCAGGCTAGGGTGCAATGGTGCAATCTCACCGCAACCTCCACCTCCGGGTTCAAGCGAATCTCCTGCCTTAGCCTCCTGAGTAGCTGGGATTACAGGCATGTGCCTCCATGGCCAGCTAATTTTTTTATTTTCAGTAGGGACGGGGTTTCTCCATTTTGGTCAGGCTGGTCTCGAACTCCCACTCTCAGATGACCTGCCTGCCTAGGCCTCCCAAAGTGCTGGGATTACAGGTGTGAGCCACTGCGCCGGCCTATCTTCACTTTTTCATAGCCATTTCTGTTAAATATTTTCTTAGACACTATGATTCATAGTTCTAAATAGCAATTTCATCCCTGACAAATTTTAGTGTGAAGAGTTGAATTGCTAAAATAGATGACACAAATCATGGATATTAGTCGACCTCAAATTTTGCTGATATTTAATATAGTGGAAAATGCAAAGCATAGATAAAATATTGTTTTCCTTGAGAAGTTTGAAAACTGTAACACTCAAAAGTTTTCCTTTTCTTATCTGCACCGGGAAACATTTTGGTTCCACAATAACAATAATGTATGTGGAAGCATTGATCACAAAGGAAATCTTTTCAGCCATGGGACATCTATGTTTCAAACTCCTTAAATCACATAGTTTATCAGATTGTCACCCATTTTGTAGCCAACCAATCCCATAAATTCACAAATGCCAAGCCTATAAAATCGGGGGATCAGCTATGTCCTGGTATAGTCATTTTATAGATCGACACTACCTTTTCCACTCTTAAAAAGCTACTGGCATATTTTTCAGCATGGACTTGCAGGTCTGAGGCAAATAATTAGGAAGAGTCACTTGAAGATCCTCTCCAGGTCATTTTTCACACCCTGACCTCCCTGGCAGGGAGGGGATAGTTTCGAACCTGTTGTTTCATCCTTTCCTCCACAGACCATTTATTTCTTAGTGACATGGAATTTAGAAAATATGTTTCAATATTCTAACCATTGATATAAAGGTAATCTAGTTCTTGATCTCTAATTAGTCAATTGCCAGACATGGACTTATGCTTGAGAGGAAATATTATGTACTCATAAAGATCATGAGCTCTGCGGTCATACACAAAGTCAGGATTTGAATCCTGACTTTGACACTAACTACTTCTAACTACTTGGAGGACCTTGGATGAGTTTCTTAATTCCCCTAATTTTAGTTCCTTCATTTGTCATCTGGGAATATTAATACTACCTAATTCATAAGGTCAATGAGCACTAAATGAGTCAATGCAAATAAAGCCCTTAGAAGATGTATGACTAATTTTAACTTATCCATAAATGTTAGCACTCACTAACCAGTATCCACCAATGAACTTGATCTCTTTGTATTCCAATTTAAATAGTTTCACCCTTTTCTTGGACCCTTTCTACTTTCAAGCCCTCTGCTTGTTCTCAGCCTGTGCCTTGGTTACTATTATAATATGCCCTACTTTTCTTGCCATGTTTCCATTTCTTCTTAGATCTATAGGTTCATCCCTAATTTCGTATCTTTTTAGTAACAAACAAACCCTGTAATGACATCATCAAACCAAAACCTTAAGCTAAAATTGAAGCATCAGGTTTGATTTAGTCATTGGATAAAATTCTATGCTAGAAAATCTCTGCATCCTTAACAATGGATTGATATTTTTCCTTACATTGCTGAGGAAAAATAGCTAGCGATGCAGTTTTACATTTAGCAATCAGACTCTTTTCAACTTACATATTCATTTTGGATGATTGCCAATCTGGGTTGCAGATAGGCACTATAATAATTCACTTTGGTTCTTATTCAGCTGTGTTTGCTCAGGCAAAATTTCTGCCTGAAGTTTCATTGACTCTAAGGTCAATAAAATCTTTGCATATATAAATCCTGATGAGTCAGATCTTGAATAAGTATCTCGCAGTTTCTCTCAGTGTGATTCCTACTATTGAATAACCAAATGGTATTTTATAAAAGATTTCAATTGACTGCTCGAAGACAAGAGTTATCTATTAAGTAGAGCCCTTGAAATTAAATAAAAGATAAACATATCATTTCAAATCATTTTCTTCAAGATTGACTGATTAATAACAGTGGAAAAATTTAGTTAAGAAAGATGTATATGTGTATGCTGCAAATATTTTGCATTTTAAACTTCTTACATGTGTAATGTGATAAGTCCTCATTCTTGTGTCTACTCTGAATGAATAGGAGTAAATTAGATCGCTTATTTGTGGTCTTTTAAAAAAGATAATGTAAAATACTATTGACTTAAAATGTGCTATAAAATGTTTGCTACATACCTTCATGTTCTATTGTAAGTGTAGAAAGATGAGACAAGGTGTGGTCTCATGAAGAGGGTAATTGGAGTATTTTTTTGTAACCTCCATGATAGAAAATGTTAGGCCTTATCTAGCAAGTCAATGCTCTCAATATACCCCAATTTTAACAAACTCAGAGAAGTAACTCAAAATACCCTGATGCACTAAATTAGAGTATCAAAAAGTGAACCTGAAATAGAGCAAAATATTTATATTTACAATCCACAAAATGAAGTTAAGAGAAACCAGATCTTGAAAGTTTATAGTAGCAATGAAAAAGTTTTATAGAAAGCAGTTAGTCTAGGCAAAGAAAGATGAATATTATTGAGGGATGCAGTGGGACACTTTGCATTTTCTGGGATATATCCTAAACATTTCACCAATCACCAATTTATCAATGAGGAACAGGAAAGAATTGATGTTATACTAAAATATTATCTGAGGAGAATATAATTACACGGTCTATTTGCAAAGGTGGGGATGGTGCATAAGAGACGGTTCTGTAAGATCTTTCTGCAAAACCTAACACCCCAAGACTTTGTAGCTTAAACCAGTAGCCATTTATATAGTTCAGAATTCTACAGTTTGGTAGTTTGGGGTAGACTCAGCTGAACGGTTCTGATTTTGACTAGTCTCACTCATGCATCTGTAGTCACTTTCCAGGGCTGGCAGATGACCAGCCAGTCAAGGATGCCTCAGCAGGACTCAACTCTGCTCTACTTGATCTCTCATCGACTAGTACGAAAGCCTGAGTAAGTTCTTATGGTAATTGGACAGGCCTTCAAAGACAGACAGCAGAAACATTCAAGGTGTTTTGAGAAATAAATTTAGAATCAGCCCTTTGTTACCTCTGCTGCATTCAGCCAACCCATTTCTTTCTGTGTTTTTTTTTTTTTTTTTTTAGGTCTGGATCACTACCCCTCATTCTCAGATTTGCGCCCCTCCACAAGAAACCAGACCAAACTGAATGGTGTCTTTTATTTATTTATTAGGAAAAATAAGATAATTTATTTTTTATTTTTATTTTTTTGTTAGCATAATAGTTTTTAAAGTTTTTTTCATAAGTTCTTGGGGTACAGGTGGTATTTGGTTACACGAGTAGGTTCTTTAGTGGTGATTTGTGAGATCCTGATGCACCCATCACCTGAGCAGTATATACTGAACCGTATTTGTTGTCTTTTATCCCTCACCCCCCTCCTGCTCTTCCCCGCAAGTCCCCAAAGTCCATTGTATCATTCTTATGCCTTTGTGTCCTCATAGCTTAGCTCCGACATACCAGTGAGAACATACGATGTTTGGTTTTTCCATTCCTGAGTTACTTCACTTAGAATAATGGTCTCCAATCTCATCAGCCAACAAACATATGAAAAAATGCTCAACATCACTAATGATCAGGGAAATGCAAATTAAAACAACTCATTTCTCAGGAAAGGTGATGATATATTCCTTTGCTTGATGGGAATAGGTGAAATGTCACATGGAAAATAGCATGGAACAAAGGATCTTTAGGGCAGTCAGACTACTCTCTACGCTACTATAATGATGGATACATGTCATTATACATTTGCAAAATCAGTAAAAAGTACAACATTAAGAGTGAGCCTTATGTAAATTATGAACTTTGGTGATAACATTGTGCTAATGTTGGCTCATTGATTATAACAAATGTAACACTTTGATGTGGGAGGTTGATGTTGGGGGAGACTGTATGTGTGTGTTAGGGGGAATTATGTGCTTTCTGCTCAATATTGCTGTGAACTTAAAATTGTTCTGAAAAATAAAGTCTATGTTAAACAAATGGATGCTTTGGGGAATCAGTGTTATAATAAAGTTTGCAATCTACCATAGAGACTTCCAAGGGAAATATTCTGTCACACTAGATCAATGCACATTTTCTAGAACTTTGTATTAATGGAATAAAGCAATATGCAATATTTTTTGTCTGATTTTCTTTCACATAGCATAGTTATTTTGAGATTTAGCTCATTCCTGAATAGTATTCCATTGTATGAAAATGTCACTACTTAGTTAACTATTTACCTGTAGATGAATATTCATGTTGCCTGTAGCTATTGGTTAATACACATAATACTCATAACATTTGTGTTGTGTTTTATTTCTCTGTAGTAGTAAGAGGTGAAATGGCTATATCATATGTTACATGCATATTCACATTCTTAAGAATGCAAATATTTTTTCTTTAAATTGATTATGTCATTTTATACGTTTCTTAGCAGTGTGTAAGAGTTGCAGTTGTTCCACAAATTGGCCAGCACTAGGTATAGTCAGTCATTTCAGTTTAGCCATTCATATGTGTGTATACTGGCATCTCATTTTGGTTTTTATTTGCATTTACCTAATGACTTATAATGTTGAATACTTTTCTGCACTTGCGTTTGCTACTTGCGTTGGTGAAGTGTACTATTTTTTCAAATCTTTAACCATGAGAGGTATATTTGTTTTCTGAGTTTTTAGAGTGTGTTATTTATATCTATTCTAGATATAAATCTTTTACCAGATTTCTTTTCACTACGAATTTCTTGTATTTGGTATGCATCCACATTTTAGCATTTAGTTGTCCTGACCAGAAAGTGGAAAAATGCAGCAATTTCCCAGGAAGTCAAGCCCACCAATTTCAGAGGCTGTTAACACAAAGTTATTTCTCAATCCCTGCAGAGGATGGTGAGAAGAACCAAAACCAAAGTGTGTCCAAATACAAGGGTTTATTGTTCCAGTTGTCAGGCTCAAAATTAGATGCAATGGATTGCAAGGATGACCAAATGAGAATCCTGTTTAAAACTTCTTCAATTTTTAAGGGCAAAAGCAATTACAGAAAAAGAAAACAAATCAGAGGGATCATGTGTGCTTACAAGTATTTTATGAGACCTTTCTCCAAGTTTAACCACCAAAGACTCTGAGACCTGTCAGGACTGACTAATCCTGGTCACTGTTCTTCTCAACTTATCAAAACTTGAGCTAAGAAAACCACATCAACTGATGATGACAGCAGAGGGTGGCAGGGCTGAGGACACAATACTTATTTTCCAGTCTTGTGGAAAGTGAATAAATGTGACTTTAAAACTAAATGAAGGAGATCGGAGACTCTTTCCAACCTTATCTGATGGCTTCTGGCAATAGTAAGGAAGTGTCATGGAAGATGTTGGGTGGTGACAGTGAAAAAAGGGACTTGAGGAGGAGAGAGGAAAAATGAAGCATCCCTCAATAAAGGTGGAGGAGAGAATATATGGGGAAATCCCTGAATTCCTCACCAAAGTCCAATCTCTCAGGGTTGCAGAGGTGTTACAGTCTGTGCTTTCTCTAAGGACAGGGGTGGAGGAGTAGAGGAACAGGATGATGTCTTAGAAGCGGGGGATCACTTCAGACTTAAAGAAAGAAATCAGAGGTGCAGGCAAAATACCCCACAGAACCAGGAGTAGTGCCACAGGTTGCAACCAACTGGAAACCTTCACATCTGGTCTAACAAGACCCTCAAGCTGACAGCTATTACTAGGAAGATGGGAGAAGGGGTGAGAGAAGAGGGGAAAAGAAAAGACCCAAGACATGGAATCAGCAGCAAGGCGATTGTGTGATGTGTCTTTTCACAGCTGAGTTAGATGTTCCCCACCAGTTACTATGGGAATTAATTTAAATATACTTTCTCACTCCCAGAAGTTTAACTATGTGGACAGTGGTTACACTTCATAGGATGATATGTTATAGCACAACTTATATCCTTTGAGTGGACAAAAAATATATCATTTACAGTATCTTAAAATAAATTGCCTTTGAATGAGAGGTTCCTTTCTAGTATTTTGTGGTCTGCAAGATGTATCTGGAAAATTTACTGCTGTGGAAAATGAAGATTGTTTTAATAAAATGGGGTAGAAAGAGAAGTGCCTTTCAACACTTCTCTTGTTATAAAGAAGAAGTGTTTTTCTTTTTGATTGTTCTTCAGGCAGCTGAAGAAGCTTTATATTTTATTTAGACATCATTAGGTGCCAAAGTTGTTGCAGAACAACTTAGAAGCTATATAAATTCTACTTTTTTGCTAGCACTGATAGAGCTTTTGGATCCACCACTACATTAGAACTATTAACTCCGTTTATATTAATTTTTGTTATAAATCTTAAAAGGGGTGACATTTCTCGGTATTTAGGTCCACATTCTAGATTAAAGCCATACATTTAGTTTTCATAAATTGTCTGAGCCCATGGTGGCTGCCATCTTGTGCCACTTCCTTTATCATACTTTTGATTTGAAAACATTTTCTCTCAGTTTGTGGCTTGTATTTTCATTCTACTAATATTGTTCATCTTAGGCATGGTAGGATAAGAAAAAAATATTGTTCTTCAAACAGCTACAGTTATTAACTTTGATGAATTCTAATTTATGATTTTATAATGGAGACAAAATTTTCTTTGGTATTTTAATTTTGATTTTGTATTTATTAAATCTTTGCTTCAATACAATGCCAGAAAAACTTATCTTACATTTTCTTCTAGAAGAGTTATGATTTTACCTTTTATATTTAGGTCTGTGATATATTTTGAGGTTCTTTATTTTGATGCTGCAAGGTTTGCCTAAAAATTGTCTTTAATATGAATATGCAGTTGTTGCAACTTCATTCGAAGATCTCTTCTCGCTGAATTCCCTTTGCACTTTTGGGTACATCTATTTTGACATAAGTGTTCTATCTATACATCTAGTGTCTATTCTTCTGCCGAGACCATACAATATTGATTACTGTAACTATACAATGTCAGCCTAGATAGTATAAGTTCTCTGTATTACTCTGTTCTCACACTGCTATAAAGAACTGCACAAGACTGTTTATAAAGAAAATTTATAAAGAAAAGAGGTTTAATTGACTTATAGTTTCATATGGCTGGGGAGGCCTCACGAAACATACAATCACTGTGGAAGGGGAAGTAGGCACATCTTACATGGCGAAAGGTGGGAGAGAGAGTGTGTGTAGGAAGCAAGTGGGGAAAAGCCCCTTATAAAACCATCAGATCTCTTAGAACTCATTCACTATCATGAGGACGGCATGGGGGAGACCACCACTCTAATTCAATCGCCTACCTCCATTGACATGTGGGGATTACACTTTGAGATGAAGTTTGGTTGGGGACACAAAGCCAAACCATATCATTCCATCCCTGGCTCCTCCCAAATCTCATGTCCTTTTCACATTTTAAAACCTATCATGCCTTCTCAACAGTACCAAAGTCTTAACTTATTCCAGTATTAACCCAAAAGTCCAAGTCCAAAGTCTGATCTGAGAGAAGGCCCTTCTGCCTATCAGTCTGTAAAATCAAAAGCAAGTTAGTTACTTTTCAAGATGCAATGAGGGTATAGGTAGTAGGTAAATTTTCCCATTCTAAATTGGGAGAAATTGGCCAAAACAAAGGGGCTACAGGCTCCATGCAAGTCCAAAATCCAGCAGAGCAGTCATTAAATCTTGAAGCTCCAAAATGGTCTCCTTTGACACCATGACTCACACCCAGAGCACGCTGATGCACAAGGTGGGATTCCAGAGCCGTGGACAGCTCTGCCCCTGTGGATTTGCAGGGTTCATCCCCCACAGCTGCTTTTATGGGTTGCCATTGAGTGTTTGTGGCTTCTCCAGGCACCCAGTACAAGATGTTGGTGGATCTATCATTCTGGGGTCTGGAGGATGGTAGCCCTCTTCTCATACCTCCTCTAGGCAGTGCCCTAGTGCAGACATTTTGTGGGGGCTCCAACCCCACATTTCCTTTCTTCACTGCCCTACCAGATGGTCTTCATGAGGGTTCAGCCCTTGCAGCAGACTTCTGCCTGCACATCTAGACATACATCCTCTGAAATCCATACATCCTCTGAAATCCATACATCCTCTGAAATCTAGGCAGAAGTTCTCAAATGTCAACTCTTGATCTCTGTGCACTCACTGGCCCCAAAACCACTTGTAAGCCATAGGAGCTTGCACCCTCTGAAGTAATGTATGGCCTGAGCTATACCTTGGCCCATTTTAGCCAAAACACTAGCTGGAGTAGCTAGGACACAGGGCACCAAGTCCCAAGGCTGCACAGAGCAGGGAGTCTTTGTGCCTGGCTCAAGAAACTATTTTTCCCTCCTAGGCTTCTGGGCCTGTGATGGGAGGAGCTGCTGCCAAGACCTCTGACATGCCCTGGAGACATTTTTCCCATTATCTTGGTGACTAACATTTGGCTCCTCATTACTTAATGTAAAATTTCTGCAGCTGTATTGAATTTCTTTCCAGAAAATGAGTTTTTCTTTTTTATTTCATTGTCAGGCTGCAAATTTTCCAAACTTTTATTCTCTGCTTCCCTTTTAAATATAAGTTCCAATTTCAGATAATCTCTCTCAAGTTCAAAGTTCCACAGATATCTAGGGCAGGGCCAAAATGCCACCAGTCTCTTTGCTAAAGCATAGCAAGAGTGACCTCTGCTCCATTTCCCAAGAAGTTCCTCATTTCCAGTGGAGACCACCTCAGCCTGGACTTCATTGTCCATATCACTATCAGCATTTTGGTCAAAACCATTCAGCAAGCCCTTGGGAAATTCCAAACTTTCCCACATCTTCCTGTCTTCTTCTGACCTCTTCAAACTGTTCCAACCTCTCTGCTTGTAACCAAGTTCCAAAGTCCTTCCACATTTTCAAGTATATTTATAGCAGTACCCCACTCTCTGTAGTACCAATTTAATGTATTAGTTCACTCTCACACTGCTATAAAGAGCTACCTGAGTGGGTAATTTCTAAAGAAAAGAGGTATAACTGACTAACAATTCGACATGGCTGGGGAGACGTCAGGAAACTTGCAACCATTGCAGAAGGGGAAGCAGGCACGTCTTACATGGCAGCTGGTGAGAGAGCATGTGAAAAAAGTGAATAGGGGAAAAGTACCTTATAAAACCATCAGATTGTTTGACTTCCTCTCTTCCTATTTAAATATCCTTTATTTCTTTCCCTTGCCTGATTGCCCAGAATTTCCAATACTATGTTGAATAAGAGTGGTGAAGAAGAGCATCCTTGTCTTGTACCAGTTTTCAAAGAAATTACTGCCAGCTTTCACCCATTCAAAATGATATTGTTTGTGGGTTTGTCATAAATAGCTCTTATTATTTTGAGATATGTTCCATCAATACCTAGTTTATTGAGAATTTTTAACATGAAGGGATGTTGAATTTTATCAAAGGCTTTTTCTGCATCTACTGAGGTAATCATGTGGTTTTTGTCTTTGCTTCTGTTTATGTGATCGATTATGTTTATTTACTTGAGTATGTTGAACCAGTCTTGCTTCCCAGTATGAAGTCAACTTGATCATGATGGATGTGATTTTTGATGTGCTGCTGGATTTGGTTTGCCAGTATTTAATTGAGGATTTTTGCATCGATGTTCATCAGGTATATTGGCCTGAAGTTTTCTTTTTTGGTTGTGTGTCTTCCTGGTTTTGGTATCAAGATGATGTTGGCTTCATAAAATGAGTTAGGGAGAAGTCCCTCCTTTTCAATTGTTGGAATAGTGTCAGAATGAATAGTACCAGCTCCTTTTTGTACTTCTGATATTATCTCTGTTTGCAGACAACATGATTTTATATTTAGAAAATCCTATCATCTCAGCCCCAAAACTTAAATTAATCAGCAACTTCAGCAAAGTCTCAGGATACAAAATCAATGTGAAAAAATCACAGGCATTCCTATAAACCAAAAACGGACAAGTAGAGAGCTAAATTATGAATGAACTACAATTCACAATTGCTGCAAAGAGAATAAAATACCTACGAATACAGATAGCAAGGTATGTGAAGGACCTTTTCAAGGAGAACTACAAACCACTGCTCAAGGAAATAAGAGAAGACACAAATGAATAAAACATTCCATCCTCCTGGATAGGAAGAATCAATATTGTGAAAATGGCCATACTACCCAAAGTAATTTATAGATTCAGTGCTATTCCTTTCAAACTACTATGGACATTCTTCACAGAATTAGAAAAAAACCACTTTAAATTTCTTATGAAATCAAAGAAGACCCTGTATAGTCAAGACAATCCTAAGTAAAAAGAACAAACCTGGAGATATCACACTGCCTGACTTCAAACTATACCACAAGGCTACAGTAGCCAAAACAGCATGGTACTGGTACCAAAACAGACATATAAACCAACAAAACAGAACAGAGACCTCAGAAATAACACCACACATCTCCAACCATATGGTCTTTGACAAATCTGACAAAAAACAAGCAATGGGGAAAGGATCTCCTATTCAATAAATGGTGCTGGAAAAACTGGCTAGCCATATACAGAAAACTGAAACTGGACCACTTCCTTACACCTTATACAAAAATTAAGATAGACTAAAGGCTTAAATGTAAAACCCAAAACGACAAAAATCCTAGAAGAAAACCTAGGCAACATCATTCAGGAAATAGGTGTGGGCAAAGAATATATGACAAAAATGCCAATAGCAATTGCAACAAACACCAGAATTGACAAGTAGGATCTCATTAAACTAAAGCACTTCACCACAGCAAAATAAACTATCATCAGAGTGAACAGGCAACTTACAGAATAGGAGAAAATCTTTGTAATCTAAGCATCTGACAAAGGTCTAATATCCAAAATTCACAAGGAACTTAAACAGATTTACAAGAAAACAACAAACAAATCCGTCAAAAGGTGTATATGAACGGACACTTCTCAAAAGAAGACATTTACATGGCCAACAAACCTGTGAACAAAGACTCAACATCATTGATAATCAGAGAAATGTAAATCAAAACCACAATGAGATACCATCAATTATTAAAAAGTCAAGAAACAATAAATGCTGGCAAGGCTGTGGAGAAATAGGAATGCCTTTACACTGTTGATGGGAATGTAAATTAGTTCAACCATTGTGAAAGATAGTATGGTGATTACTCAAGGATCTAGAATCATAAATACCATTGACTGAGCAAGGCCATTACTGGGTATTTACCCAAAGGAATATAAATACTTCTAATATAAAGACACGTGCACACATATATTTATTGCAGCACTATTTACAACAGCAAAGACATGGAACAAACCCAAATGTTCATCAATGATAGATTGGATACAGAAAATGTGGTACACATACACCATGGAATACTATGCAGCCATAAAAAGGAAAGAGATCACGTCCTTTGTAAGGACATGGCTGAAGCGGGAAGCCATCATCCCCAGCAAACTAACACAGGAACAGAAAACCACCACCACACGTTCTAACTCATAAATGGGAGTTGAACAATGAGAACACATGGACCCAGAGAGGGGAACAACACACATCAGGGCCTGTTAGGGGGTGGGGGACCAAGGGAGGAAACTTAGATCATAGATCGATAGGTACAGCAAGCCACCATGGCACATGTATATCTATGTAACAAATCGGCATGTTCTGCTCGTGTATCCCAATTATTTTTTAGAAGAAATAAAGAAAAATAAAACAAAAGTAAAAATAAATAAAAACCATCAGATCTCATGAGAACTTACTCACTGTCACAGGAACAGCATGGGAGAAACTGCCTCTATGATCCATTCACCTCCTTCCCTCAACATGCAGGGATTACAATTCAAGATGAGATTTGGGTGGGGACACAGAGCCAAATCATATCATCCTCCAACTCTGATCATTATTTTAGAAATGATTTTAGCTATTTTTGTTTATTTGCATTTCAATAGAGATTTTAGAGTCAGCTAATCAGTGTCTGTATTTTGGGGGGTATCTAAAGATACAGTTTAGAAAAATTAATATTAACAAAATTAGGTTTTTAATCCACTCACATGGCACATTTCTCCATTTATTTAAACAGTCCTTAATATTTCTCAGTTTAATTTTAAGATGGTATCATCCCTTCCAATCAGGGAGTTTGTGGAGCTCCTTCTGGAATCCCCATGCTGAGCTGTGGCTTGGGAATTCCCTGTGAGCAGGGAGCTGGGGCAATCAGGACTCTTTTGTTTACCTGCTGTCAACACTGTCCTACATGGCTTGATGTTCAATGCCTTGAAAATAATTGTTTCATATACATGGACTGATTTATATTTTTCAAACGGTAGCTTTGTTTTAATCAATCCCTACTGTTTCATTTTGGTCTAGGGCACAACTCTTGCAAACAATTTTCCATACATGTGAGCTTCTCAAACAACAAATTTCACTCAGGCACAAAAAAATATTACAGTCAGCTTTCAAACATTCTCAATCTTTATTTTGTAAGTCAAACTACAAATGTATTGGAATTTTACTTTTCGTAGTTACAATAAATGATATTGAACTTAAACATCTGGTTTTATAAAAATAGTTTGACAGAATCAGAAAATGATCCTTTGATTGGAAAGGCACTTAGTGTTTAGGCATAACCAGAAAAAAATCAAAAAGTCAATTATGTAAAAAAACAGAATTTCTCACTTGCTATTTTGTACTCTATTTTTTTAAAAAGAAAGAAACTCTTATGTATATTTATGAGTACAAGAAGGAAAACATTTTGCCAGTGAAAGGCTATTTCTTGACAATATCTGTCTATATAATTTGACTGAAGTTTGTGACTGAAATTGTGAATATTTTACACATGTTAATACTGAAAGATAGACTATTATAAGTAAAAATACCATTTTATAGGAGACCCGAGGCATCCACTTACAAATTGTAATGTTATGTTGGCATTCGTACTTCCTGTCATCAGCCTTCATGTTAGCTTTGTCACATTTATGGATTTAAAGATAAAACAAAATGCTCTCATAGGGGAAAATAAGAATCTGAAAGAAACGCTATTTTGTTTTGTAAATAATTCTGTAAGGTTTTCAAATGATAAGCCATTTCCCTGTTTTCCTATCTGTAAAGGTAGGTATCTCAGTTTTGATTTCTCTTTAAGTGTTTAAAGGGCATTCTGAAAATTCATTCCTATGTAATTCGACATGATAATGAAACCTCCAGGGTTCATACGATGCACATAGTGCAACATGCTGTTTCTCAGACCTCTCCTTGAATAAAGTCCAGTGTTCTTCCCATCAAAATTTATTTTTGTCTATGATTTTCTATCAAATCTCCAAATCCTAGTGTTCCTCTTGGTTTTTACGCCTTTTGTTGTCTCTCCATTCTGCATTCTGAATATGCTTTTGATTTATTCTTCTGCAAAATATTTTCACATTTATTATCATGAAGGCACCTCATAAATTTCTCTTTAGGCTTTCATATTTATTGAAAAGTTTCAGTGGGAAGCTTCCCTTGTCCAGGG
Source organism: Homo sapiens (assembly GCF_000001405.40). NCBI lineage: Eukaryota > Metazoa > Chordata > Mammalia > Primates > Hominidae > Homo > Homo sapiens. Next base: position 18,894,122 of record NC_000005.10, read on the forward strand.
GCCATGCCTGGAAGATCTTGGTCCTAAGATTTATGGCTGTGGACATGATGGTGGTGACTCAATATTTTTAAATCTTAATAATGAACAGACTATCAAGGATTAACACACAACTAAGTAAAACTTTGATAGTCTGGATTGCAAAACCTAAAACACGTATTTTTAAAAAGTAGGTTAAGAAAAAGAAAAGAGAAAAAATAAATTAATAAATTAAAAATAATGCAAAGAAACATGGAAGTAATACAAGTAAAGACATAGGAAAGACTTAAAGATTAAAACTACAACTGTAAAAAACACAACAGTATGAAAAAAAAATTAGAAGTTTTGGAGAAATCTGTAGATTTCCCAAAACACAAAATCAAGTGACCAAGATTAAGGTGTTGAAAAGATAAGAGCCATAGATAATCAATCAAAGTTGACATTTCAACAACTGCATTACATGTATTATAGAAAGAGAGAAACCTAAAAATTGAAGAGAAGAAAATCATCACCACAATTCTACTGTATTACCTAGATTACAATATCTTCAGATGGAAAAGTCTCATTTATTGCTTAGCACAGTGAGTTTTAAAGGCTCTTTCCCAAAACCATTGTGAAAATCTGTAATAATAACAGGGACAAAAAAAGACTCTGAAAACTTTCAGTGTTAAGCCACAACAAAAGTAAGCAAACAAACAAAAAGGCCATTTGGAAAATAATGAGAATTAAATTGCCCTATACTTCCTAATATGAGTCAAAATTGAATAAATGTCTGCCACCATTTATTATTAGCTGTTTTAGATTTGTAACTTTTTAATTGTTTATGATTGCCAGGTTAAAAATGATTCACACTATTTCTAAAACAAAATATGCCATTAGTAAATGTTTAGTCAAAAATACAGAGTGTATGAAATGAATTTTCTAAATGAGCATGCAGTCCAGGTGTAAGAATCATTCTAAGCAGAATGTATGGCAGATTGTATCTTTTAATTATGACTACACCTCTACCTTCCATCCTCATGCTCTTTGGCATTATAATCTTACTATTTTCTCACTAGGTGTTGGGATCTGTCTTTCCACTCTCTTGAATGTGTGCAAGCTGTGAGAGTGCTTTAACCAAAATAATATAGTAGAAGTGTCAGGTCCAAAAATAGCCCTTAACTAACCTGCAGTTTCTGCTGCTTACCTCTTGAAATTCAGTAGCCCTGCAGTGAGAGCCCATTTCACATGAAAGGTTATATGTGGATTCCACAGTAAGTAGCATCTATTGAACTTTCTTTCAATCAAGAACCTGCCATGTGAATGAGCCACCTTGGAATTTTCGGTTGAGGTGCTATAACAGAAATCTAAACAATTTGACATTGACTTTGAAACCAGGCAATTAGTAGAAGCAAAAATGATGTCAAGGAGACTCCACTGGAAGCTAAAAGGATGCAAAACAAGAGCCCAGAGGGATGATAATGTGTGTTCTCTAGTGGCAGAATGTTTAGCAGAACAATTGCCTGCAGTAACATGAAAAAGAAAAAAATGAACTTTATGAGTATATGAATTGATCTAAAGAGATTTTTCAGGTCAACTGGTTTCTTGTAATAGTGTCCGAAAAAGTGAATATAGAGAGAAATAAACTAAGGATGAAACTATTTGATAGTTTAGCAAAATTTAGAGGATATATGAGGGACTAGAAGACTCTTCCCACCCGCTCAAATACTCCCAGGGTAAGAATAACCATAGAGGAAAACTCAAATCCAGGGTCTACTGGTAAAACATGGCCTTAGAGTAATTTTAAGATTAAAGTGTGTAGCTGTGGGAATTTTTGATAAGATGTCAAAATGACATAAGGTGATTTCTTTTTTCATTTTTTTACTACAGCAATTTTATTTTAAGAATTGTTAAAGTTGTTATCACCTCTCAGATAATATGATTTCTACAATATCGTAAGGACATGTGAATATACCCTATAAAATCTTAAAAATGGTTTCAAAGAATCTTGGAAGGTTGTTCCGCAGCACCATTGTTCACAGACCAATATAGAGAAGAACCCATCTTACAAAGCTTCAGGAGTTTGACTTTTTGTTTAAAAGAGGCAAAAAAAGATGAATAGGAAATCCATCATTTTTAAGAGAATTGTACTAACAGAAGCACCATAAGCTTGAACTGAAAAATACAAAGGATGGTCAAAATCAAAAGCAAGTTTGAGGATCACAACCTTCTAGGAGTAAGAAGATTGGGAAAGCTACTCAGCTACAAATATAGACTCTCCTTACTGAAAAGGAAGAATGCAGAATAAGAGCTCAAAGGGCAAAATCTAAAGCCATGTAGATAATTCCTACAAAGCAGGAATAGGCCCTAATCAAGAGAAACTAGCACTACTTGCTGAGCTGGACTTCAGGATTTCTATGAAACAGTGTCTACCATGTCTGTTCCATTTGTTAATGGGTATAAAAATATAGTTAATTAGAAGGAATAAGATCTAGTGTTTAGTTGCACAATAGGCTGACTATAGTTAACAATAACTTATCATATATTCCAAAATAACTAGAAGAGTAGAATTGAAATATTCCCAACACAAACTAATGATAAGTGATTGAGGTGATGAATATGTCAATTACCCATATTTGATTATATCATATTATATGCTTGTATCAAAGTGTTACATGTACACCATAAGTATGTACAACTACTATGTGTACATGAAAACTAAAAACTAAAAAAAAAACAATTAAAAGGGAGTGTTTACTGAGGTTATTCTTTTCTGATCCAAACATGAAATTTTGAGGAGAGCCAAAACCAGTGATAAAAATCAACCTCAGATTCCAGTCTGATTTTTTCTCCTAACGATCAACCCTTTAATTTCATCCAGTCATTATCCACTTTTGTTCATATTTAAAGGATTCTTCTACATCACCATAATACCGATGATGCCTTTTTTCATAGGTACAGTTTTGCTCATGGCACCATCTTAATAAGACTATTTTATTTCATTCCATGAAATAAAATAAGTAAAATAAAGAATTGTTATCAGAGTTACCAGATCTTCCATAGTTTGACTATGTCCTCTTTTAAACTTTATTTCATTAGTATATAGCTCCAGCAACTTAAAAAATTATTTTGGAGTTTCTAAGATTTAGATTTGAAATAATAAGATTAACACTGCTTCAGAGTGTATCTTAAAATGCAGTTTTCTGAGTGTCATATCAAAAATATTTATTTAGGGTACCTACTTAAGAATTTCTATATGATTTGAAAGCCACTGACATAGGCAATGTAGAGGATAAATAAAATTTAAAATGCAAAAATCATGTTCATTTTTAGACTTCCTGAAAATAAAAAGTAGTAAAAATAAAAAGCTGTCATGTCCAAATGAATGTATATAAATGAAGAGGTAGAGTTTTAGAAGAGTGTCACAGCTGTAGATCAGTATTTAGAAAATGAAATACCCAATATGTGTATCAAAATCTTAGAGATGTCTTTATGTTCTTTAAGATATATATTTTTCCCTTCAGCTTGCTTTTCATGTCCAACTTAATATTTTTTTAAATGAAAGAAAACCTCATTTTTAATTTAAGTACGTTTGAAAAGAAAATACGTTTGTAGTAAATTATAATACAAAGCTACTACTCTTTCCTAACTATAGATGTCAAAATACCATGAATCATTTGTAGTTTAAAATAAATTAGAAACTAGAAATTGAAGATTAAAGTCACTACAACAGAAACTTTTCAGAATACACATTCTTTGCATGGTTTTATAAGCAACAGTGACCGCCCCTCCCTGACCCTGCCAAATAAAAGGGTACAAGTAGAAAAGGAACGATGTTAACTTTGTTTATACTAACAATCAGACAAAAAGACAAACATTGTTTCTGGAATTTACCTGTTTTCTGAGAGTTGAGAGAAAAGAAGAGAGCTTTGGAGACTAATGTAAGTCTTTCCATGTTTGCAGTTACTCACATTTTTAGGTATGGAGTACAGGCAAGGGAAGAATAACAGAGGCCTACGTATTTGTTTTGTTTTATTCACAAAGAGTAATACAATTATATATCTTCACATACATGGATGCACATCAATTTATCATTGATTTAATACTTTGTTAATATAAGATTTCATAATTAAGGATTTAAATTTGTGCATTCATTTGCAAACAAAATTAATATTTATCATATCTGTTTTTAAATTACCCAGAGTTTATGGTAGTCAAATATTTGACTGCGCAAAAATTCCTAGGAATCAGAACCTTACTCTGGGACATAAGTTTTGTTTCAATTATCCAAATACATATTTAAGGGAGTGCCTACATAAAAACTAAAATATAAGAAGTAATGATTCACTGTAAAACGCTACATTTTATTCTCCAGTAATTGTCCCAAGTTCCAGATAATTTTGGGTCAGAAAATCTGGAACATGTAAGAAAAAAAGTTTTGTTTTTCTATTTTGTTTAAATCTCAAAGATTTTGGTCAAAAAATAAAAAAATACATTTATATTTCTCACATTATTTCTCTTTTCATTTTCTTAATACTCGTATTACTTTGGATACTTTAGTAGTTTATAAAATCTTAATAGGTCAACTATTCTGTCTGCTATTTATTTATTACTAGATCTACTGACAAGAGTGATGCTGACAGAAAGTACGAGTTGTACTTTTTTCAAATTTTCTGCCTTACCTCCTCCATAATGGGAATGGCAGTTTTCCTAGTACACATTAGAATAAAAAGAGAATGAATATTCTATTCTCAGAAGAAAATACTAAACTTAAGTAAACCCCAAAGCATTTAGCTTTTCCAGAAATTAAGAATTTAAAATACTTTAGAAATATTATACACAATTTACAAAAGTAACTAAAAGTTACAATTTGATATTTGTAGATATAATTATTAGGCAAAATGAATATTTACCTGTGTTCTTCATATTGTTGCCCAATTATATATTTCATTTATTTCTATATAAATAAATAAATATAGCTATAAATTAAAATAAAATTTATATTTCATTTCTATATCTATTTATATATTATATATAAATATATATATTTTTATATATACTCAAGTCTATAATTGACTTGAAATATTATCATTTGGGTAAATATTTAGTGAATGCTGCAGAGTACATGATTACCTTCATCAACATTAATCAATTTTGGTAATGATTTTTTTTTACTCAAAAGTACGTCATCTATTACTGCTCTAAAATCTGCTTTCATCACATATTCAACATATAAAATTATTTTAGCTTCTAAATAAAATGTTCCATGAATATGTCTTCCTTTTCTTATGCCAGGATTCTCGTTTTTCTCATCGTGTCTCTGTATGTGTAAATATGTATGTATTTACCACATTAACAATTCACTTTATTCAAAAGTTGCCAGCAGGGCGTGGTGGCTAACAGCTGTAATCCCAGCACTCTGGGAGGTCAAGGTGGGCAGATCACCTTAGGTGAGGAGTTTGAGACCAGCCTGGCCAACATGGTGAAACCTTGTCTCTACTAAAAAATGCAAAAATTATCTGGGCGTGGTGGCACATGCCTGTAATCCCAGCTACTCGGGAGGCTGAGGCTGGAGAATCTCTTGAACCCATGTGGGAGGTAGAGGTTGCAGTGAACCAAGATTGCACCACTGCACTTCAGCCTGGGAGACAGAGTGAGACTCCGTCTCAAAAAATGAAAAATAAAAATAAAAAAATTTTTTAAAGTTGCCTATTTGTAGTCACTGTTATTTATCAGAACTAATTTACTTTTTAAATATTATTTTTTAATTGTTAATTTTTAGGGGTATACAGTAGGTGTACACATAGTAGGTGTACATATTTATTGGGTACATAAGATATTTTGATACAGGCATACAATGTGTAATAATCACATCATGGAGAATGGGGTATCCATCCCCTGAAGCATTTATCCTTTGTGTTACAAATAATCAATTATACTCTTTTCGTTATTTTAAAATGTAAATTAAATTATTATCAATTATTGTCACTATTTTGTGCTATCAAATACTAGGTCTTATTCATTCTAACTATTTTTTTTACTCTAATTTTCATATGAAATGAAGAATCACTTTAACTTCTTTGACTCCCATTAGGACTTAAATTGTAATCATAACACTCATATATTTTATGATGAAAAGGATTTAATCTCTTTTCAGTTTGTTTATCTATCCAAAACTTCCTAATTTATTCACATATTTCTTTGTTTCTTAAAATAAAAGTAGTCATCTTTTTCATGTTAATTTTCTAAATAAATGATATTATTTTAGAAATTGACAATTATTTTATACATTGTCCTTCATTTTCTGAATTATAAAATAATAATATGGATTATGTTTAACATTTTGTTTTGTTTTTATTTGTTTGTTTGTATGTTTCTCGCTCTGTTGCCCAGGCTGGAGTGCAAGTGGCACCATCTAGGCTCACTGCAACCTCCTCCTCCCGAGTTCAAGAGATTCTCCTGCCTCAGTTTCCTCAGTAACTGGGATTACAGGTGCACGTCAGCGTGCCTGGATAATTTTTGTATTTTTAGTAGAGACAGGGTTTCACCATTTTGAGGAGGCTGGTCTCGAACTCCTGACCTTGAGTGATCCACCCGTTTCAGCCTCCCAAAGTGCTGGGATCACAGTTGTGAGCCACCACACCCAGCTTTAATATATATTTTTAAATATTTTAAGAAGTAAATACTTTTATACTTCTTAATAATTTTAAAGATTTCATACTTTTAAAGAAGTAAAATTATTTTTAATTTAATATATTAATATTCTTAATTAATCTTAATGTATTAATTTAATTTATATTAATTTAATTCTTAATTTACTTGCCTATTAAATTAGACCATTAAATTGCCTATTTGGAATCTCAGATACACGAAGACTAACAGACAGCTCATGGTAAGAAATAAAACACATGAAAAAATGCTCACCATCACTGGCCATCAGAGAAATGCAAATCAAAACCACAATGAGATACCATCTCACACCAGTTAGAATGGCAATCATTAAAAAGTCAGGAAACAACAGGTGCTGGAGAGGATGTGGAGAAATAGGAACACTTTTACACTGTTGGTGGGACTGTAAACTAGTTCAACCATTGTGGAAGTCAGTGTGGTGATTCCTCAGGGATCTAGAACTAGAAATACCATTTGACCCAGCCATCCCTTTACTGGGTATATACCCAAAGGACTATAAATCATGCTACTATAAAGACACATGCACATGTATGTTTATTGCAGCACTATTCACAATAGCAAAGACTTGGAACCAACCCAAATGTCCAACAATGATAGACTGGATTAAGAAAATATGGCACATATACACCATGGAATACTATGCAGCCATAAAAAATGATGAGTTCACGTCCTTTGTAGGGACATGGATGAAATTGGAAATCATCATTCTCAGTAAACTATCGCAAGAACAAAAAACCAAACACTGCATGTTCTCACTCATAGGTGGGAATTGAACAATGAGAACACATGGACACAGGAAGGGGAACATCACACTCTGGGGACTGTTGTGGGGTGGGGGGAGTGGGGAGAGATAGCTTTAGGAGATATACCTAATGCTAAATGACGAGTTAATGGGTGCAGCACACCGGCATGGCACATGTGTGCATATGTAACTAACCTGCACATTGTGCACATGTACCCTAAAACTTAAAGTATAATAATAATAAAATAAAATAAAATAAAATAAAATAAAATAAAATAAAATAAAATAAAGAAATTAGCACATCATCCAGTTCACAGGTGTCATCAATGTCAACAGGGTCAGAGATGATGTGGAATATGCCCAGGTCTAGCTGAGTCTCCTCCAGGCAACTGGCTTCCTTCTCAGCCTTATTCACTATAATAAGTGTTGCCTAGAAGCCTTTGGGGCCTCATGCTGGTAAGCAATTTTCAGAACCATGAAACCTTGTGTGTATGTAAATTCCCTACTGGTCCCAGCATTGGTCCTGATTTCCTATAAAACAAAAGTCCACCTCCAGGTATTGGGGCTTTAATCAGAGACCACACTCTATTGTCAACAAATATAGTGTTTAAAGATAGTTGCCTTGCTTTTGCATTCAAACTTTGCTATTTATTGGTTAGGGAACGTTGGGAAGCTTATTATGTGTGTCTTGGTGTCTCAGTATCCTTATCTCTAAAATAGGAATTAAATTCATTGATAAATATAAACTACTTGATAAAGTGTTTCACAACTAGCAAGCACTTAAAATAAATAAATAATTATGATAATTATCTCACTGGTTGGGTCAATCCAGGTAGAGTTGAGTTAAGAAAGAAGAGGAAGAAACATGACTGGAGGAGGTAAAGTTACAAAATGATTTATCATAGAAAAAATAGATGAAATAGAAACTCTCCTATATGCTTAGTCTTCACAAAAATATATTCAATATCAATGAAACTCTCAGATAATGACATTATTTTCTCAATAATTCAACTTTTAGTTATTCATGCTAAGAACATATTTTATCCACAAATGTTTACAACATTAATTATAAAAACAAGAACTCTTTTTATTTTTTTTTTTTATTTTTTATTTTTTTTTATTTTTTTTTTGAGACGGAGTCTCGCTCTGTCGCCCAGGCCGGACTGCGGACTGCAGTGGCGCAATCTCTGCTCACTGCAAGCTCTGCTTCCCGGGTTCACGCCATTCTCCTGCCTCAGCGAGTAGCTGGGACTACAGGCGCCCGCCACCGCGCCCGGCTAATTTTTTTGTATTTTTAGTAGAGACGGGGTTTCACCTTGTTAGCCAGGATGGTCTCGATCTCCTGACCTCATGATCCACCCGCCTCGGCCTCCCAAAGTGCTGGGATTACAGGCGTGAGCCACCGCGCCCGGCCTCTTTTTAACAATAGGAGAATATTTAATTGAATCATTCCAAATCCATATGATGGACTATCAGGTTACATTTAAAATTATGTGCTAAGGATCATTTAATAACATGGAAAATACTGACATTATAATGCTAAAGATATCGATCATAAGAATATAAAATTGTATGTAGCTTTAAATGCCGATTAAAATATTAATAAATGTGGATTTATACAGAAAGAAAAAGATGGTGGAAGTTGTTGCAGAAAATCCCTTTCAAACCCTCTTTCATAGATTAGAAATCCTGTCATTCACAACACATTTAATGACTTCTTCCTTCTCTCTTTGAAAAAGATGAGAATAAGAAATGATGACTGTTAATCATTATTGTTTTTGAGGAAGTCCCAGCAAGATCCATGTCAACCTTTCTCTGATATATGAATTTCAAATTACTGTAATAAATTGAACATGAAATGCTTTCATTGTTCTCCAAGAAATCACTATATAAAAATTGTACCCGCTTGTTGCTGAAAGCTGATTCTAAATAACACGGAAGTCTCTGCTCATTTCATCTACCACAAATGGATAATGGAGTTATGATTGATTCCTATCACTGCCGATCACTTTTCCTTTAGAATGGTTGTTACAAGGTTTGGAATACATACAAATCTGGGAGGTGATGAGCGGCTACTGGCAAATTTTTTGTGTCTGCCCCATAAACTGCTGAGAGAGGTCTGACTCTGATTAGACAGAAAAATGACTCGACCTCGCAAAGAAGATTAGAATTTCATAAGCGAAGGTCTGAAACCACTAAAGCGGTATGTTAATGTCATGACAGTGTTCTGTACAGGAACAATCAGCAGAAATAATACTAAATGTTCTCACGATATTTTGCAGTCTGGAGATTTCTGACTTGACGCTTATTTTAAATGAGCTAAAATGAGTTCTAGCCTAACAAAGAGTCACTCATGAATTGGGAATAGTTTACTTTCCATTTATTTTTAAGTGGTATGATTATAAGCATCTTTATTTCCTACTTTATGACTTTCTCAGTCACTGGGAATTGATGAATCATATATAAAATCACATAGCTGGCATACAGAACTTGAAGGTTTCTTCTGCCTCTGTCATTAAAACAACCTCTGCTCTCTTTCCAACCCCTGTTATGTACTTGTAGAGATTATAACTTTCAAATTTCAATATACTTCTGATATTGCCTATATTTCTGCTTTCTGCCTTTTTGCTTTATGGCCTCTTACATTATAGAAGCCATTTTTAAATATTTCACTGGCTATCTTAAATGCAACTCTTCTGACCTTCAGAGATTGTTGATTGGTGCGTTTGTTATAATAAAGAAAGCAAGCAGTACAGAAGGAAGAGGTTTTCTTATGTTGCTTCAAAGGAACATACGATTACTCTTTTTTTTTTGTGGGCCAAAATACATCACCATTCTTTCCATGTACTCTACTTCCATTTACTTTTTATATGGTGTATCTTTTTCTGAGAGTTGGATAAGTTGCCTTTCTCATATATCAGTGTTACATAGAGGTAAAGTACTTTTTAATTGCAATTTTAACTGCAATTTTTTAGATGCCTAGTGGAAAGGCAGAAAAATTCACATTAGGTAATGTTATTACTCACTTTCCATTGCAAACTAGAGGCCTATTTAAAGGAAATGAATAGAATTTGGAAGTAAATTCAAATCCAACCAATAACTGGCAAAATACTTTCCGTTATAATTTAAAACAACATGGCTAAAAGTACATGCAATTATAACAACTATATGAACTAAAATCAAAATAATTTTGAAAACAATGTTAGAAAAATATGAACAATGTTTTTAACCAGCAATATCCAATTAGTTCAGGTAGATATCCAGCTTTCTGTGTGAGTTGGTGTTTGATATATACTCTGTGGTGGTAATTTGTTTGTGTCCAATGCCAGAAAATTAAATATATTTGGTAATGTAAGTATGTTAAGGATGTGATAAATGCTTTTCTCTAACAAAAGTTTACTGAAAAAAATAACAAAATACAGAAAGAGAAATAGCATTTACAAACTATTTGATATGCAATTACATAATTTTTTTCTTGTTTAAATTTTACACATATCGCATAAGAAAAGAAGGTAAGGACTACAAATAAAATAACATTAAAGCTCTAATAATCATAGACCACTTTATATGAATTGCAGGATAATTTCTTAATAAGCAATATGTCTACAAAATTTCTTCTTAGACATGTTATTATATACATTCACAAGACATAATATCCGACTTTGTAGACCAGCCATAATGCTTATTTTTAAGTATTACGATGCTTTCAACTGTCCACAATGATTTATTGTCATCAAAGTGAAATATAACTTTTTCAAATGGAAAGCTTAGAAAATAATCAAGAACTGTCCACATTTTTTGAGAAAGCATTTGTTTCTGAAACTCCTTCTTCACTGCACAATAACTGTTCAGCAGCAGAGAACTTCCATGGAATAGCAATTCTTTTACCTGATCTTGCAATACTCAAACTCATTGGGCTCTCAAATCAACTGAAATAAATATTTACTCAGCTGAAGCATTTGATTTTTAACAGAAAACCAATATTAAAATTACTAACTTGACATTTTAAACATCTTACATAAAATCGAATCTACTGAAACGTTTAAATATAGTTTGAAGTTTTAGAATTAATATATTAGGAAAATACTCATATCTTTCCACTTCCCATGTCAGTTAGGTTGTAGCCCTAAAGTCATTGAAAGGGTGTATTTTTATATATTTATATGTGTGTGTGTGGGGGGGGTTGTGAGTGTGGTGTATTTGTGTGTTTACATACGTGTACATATGTCTGTTTGGACTTACCCAGAAGCCAACCCTGCGACAAGAATTTGAAGATGAAGGATTTATTGGAAGGCGATCCCAGAAAGCATTTGTGGAGTACAGTAAAGACTGAGAGATGAGGGAAATTAGTCAATGCAAGGTATGTTAGTGAGTGGATGACCACTAGGGAGAACTGGGGCCCTCTGGGTGACAGTTCAGAGTATGCCTGAGTCGCCTCATACAAGGGCTACAAAACTGAGATTTTTATCCACCAAGCAGCCCAGAGAAAAGCCTTAGGCAGAGGCACAGGTGTTCTCAGCAGCAAGACATGGTAGCAAGGAGCACCCAGGTTCTAGAGGCAAGGCCTCAACAGCATGTGCTAGAATATACACTTATGTAATTATACTAACTGATTTCATGATGTTGTCTACATGAGTATTATATTTGTTCCCTCCTTTTTAGATACCTGTAAACTATAACAGGTTCCTGTCCTCCACAAGCCCAACTAATAGTGAAAGAAGAAGATAATCATATTAAAGAATCACATTTGGAAAGAAAAATAAAAAAAGAAAAACACATCCATCACTGACACATGTAAATTTTTAAATTCCACCCATATAACATGCAAATCCTTCCCCCATTTTGGGTGGTGGGGAATATTTATCAGGACCTGCGTGCATCTAATCCCCTGTTACTGCGGTTTTTAACTCCATCTTCTGGGAAGAGTTTGGTGTTGTTGTTGTTTGTTTGTTTCATTTTTCATTTTGATGGCACCTGAAAAGAGCACTTAAGGATATCCATATCTGGGAAGTGTGGAATTTCTTATCTTATTTAGTTAGCTTCTGTAGTATGTTGGGGGCCCAAAGGTGTTTTTGTTTGTTTATTTGCTTGTTTTAAATATCAAGCAATTACACAGTATTTTAAACCAGACTGATGGCTATTTGACAGAACACCTCTTTCGTGTTTTTTTTTTTTTTTTTTTTTTTGAGATGGAGTCTCGCTCTGTCGCCCAGGCTGTAGTGCAGTGGCGCCATCTCGGCTCACTGCAAGATCTGCCTCCGCCTCCCGGGTTCACGCCATTCTTCTGCCTCAGCCTCCCAAGAACCTAGGACTACAGGCACCCGCCACCATGCCTGGCTAATTTTTTGTATTTTTAGAATAGACGGGGTTTCACCATGTTAGCTAGGATGGTCTCATCTCCTGACCTCGTGATCCGCCTGCCTTGGCCTCCGAAAGTGCTGGGATTACAGGCATGAGCCACCGCGCTTGGCCTCACGCGGTGTTCACCTTTTTTAATACATTTGTTGGTTTCTTAGCTGTTAGATTCCAGTTAGTTCTGTGTAATGAGAACCAAAACCACTATTATTTTTATCACGCTTGTCTTTTTAAAATGCTACTTGCAGGCATCTGTTAGACATCAAAGGGAAGTCATAACTTTATTTTCTTTTTTCTTAGCCATTTTTTCCAACTAAAAGAATTTTCATGTTTCTAATTCAATTCATTCTGAATTTTAACAAATTGTGTAATGACCACAACCCTTGATAAACTGAGTATTAATTGCTCTCTACCACTCAAGGTTTTATCATTGCCAGTTGGAGACAAGAATAAGTTATAACTTGTATCTCTTCAAATTTCTAAATTCCTGAATTTTCTTCTTTCCCTTTCCTTCTCACATGCAGGTTAGATTTTATGAGATAATTTCTTTCTTATAGTTTCATTTTTTTTTCAAATTTAGCTAAAATATGTGAGGCATTCTACAACATTCTGTTTTCAAATAGCTTCTTGTAAGCCACCAGCTCATGTGGTACATTATTATCTTTCTCTGTTTTCTCAGGCATTATTATTAAATGTTTGTTATTGCTGAATATAGATTTTATTGCTTAATATGTTTTGAACTTTCAATAAAATTTCCCTTATTGCTTACTGCCTACCACAAAGGCATGCATCTAGGTTAAGCTTTTTATTATTGCTGCACCAAACTTTTCTACCAATTTCTGAATGAGTCTGGATAAGCTAATTAATAGGGAGATAATACATAATCCATAATGTTTCCACCTTAAAGCAATAATCTTTTGTATTTAATGTGTCCATCACTAATTTGCTTGTTGTTCACCTCCAAGTGACCTTCACTCGGGAAACCCAGGCTGAAAGAGTAGCCACTGGCTGGAAGATCACTCAGCTCACATAAAAGGAGAAAGAGATTTGATTAGCCAAGCACTGGCTTAAAACTTCCAACTGGAATTGATCACATTCACATATATTTCATTAGACAAAGCAGGCCGCATGGGTTATCATGACAGGAATGGAATGGGAATGCATAAGCCTTTCTCAGTCAGGGATGCCTCAGAAAAAGCAAAATTGAATATATGTTGAGTAGCAATACAATCTAACATATTTCATATTTACAAATGTAAAAATTTGGGTATCTGTGTTTTCATAATAAGAAAAATAGATACTTTTTTAAAAGTGAAAATCTCATCTATATGGTGCTATCAAAGAAAACAGAATCAATTAGGTTGGAATTCTCATATGAATAACTTGCAGCAAGAAGACAATAGAACAATGACTGTAGATTACTAAGAAAAAAGAACTGTTGTACCCAATATATCCAGAAGTGAAATTAGTCATCTGTCAGAAAGGAAAAACAATTTTGGGATATAGAGAGGCTCATAGGGTATACAAACAATATCTATAAAGAGATTTTAAAAATGAATCAAAACAAGACATTGAATTAGGCATTAGTACATGAACTAATGGTGACCAACTGATATTATATTTTATAGTCAAATCTAGTGAATAATTATGAGTTACAGTGTAAAATTTGTAATAAAGTTATTGAATCAGAAAAGTAAAGATAAGAATAGTAAGTAAATGACTAACAGATAAATATTCTAAAATCTCAAAAAAATCCAAATAACAGAACCATGGGAGTTAGGCTGAGGTGAAGATGGGTGACAGCTAAGGTATAGATTTCTAAAATTTCAAGAGAGTGGGAATTTAATATATTAATATAATATACATTTAATTCTGGCTTTTAAAGAAAACAATCTCTACACTGGTGGTATAGAAATGTCAGTATAATTCTAAAATTTAAACAGGAGAGGGAGAAAGAACAACAGAGAGAGAGAGAAGAGGACAGAATTGCTGGCAAACATCAAAGAAAGGAAAGGAGGAAAAAAAACCATAAATCTTTATGTAAAACTAGTTGCCCATAAGTTTTCAGTTACTGAAGTGGATCACCTAATCACTATGAACTTACTTGTTTTCCAGATATAAGCATTCTTTGATCTTTCTGTGAGTGACTTATGTACAGAAACAGCAGTTCTGCAATGAATTTGAGAACACATTGCAGAATGGAGAAATAGTATCTTTATTTTACCTGATGTTGCTGAAACCAAGCATCCCTATAAATTATGGACAGACTTAAGGTGAAGTTTGCTCTGACTCATAAGATGGAAAAAAATATAATAAAACAGATAAGGTGTTTTTCACGAATGACCTCCAGTATTACGTGGACATACACTTGCTGGCATGGCAGGCATACGTAGCACAACAGGATACATATCAGAGAAGTTATTTTGGTCATAACAACCATTCTTTGTGCTTCTCCTACTTGTGGAATCGTGCGGATGATCTCTTTCAATTATTAATAAAGCCACCTTTAAGGGTTTTATCATCACAAATCACAGTTTCCAGGAGGGTAAAAATACAGCACTGCTCTATAATTCAGCTTATTGAAGATTCCTGGTATTTAACTGAAGAGTCCAAAACATATGTGGTGGGAATGATGTCATGCAGAAAGGTGCCCTGTTCAATTTGGAATGTATCAGTATAGTGCTAAAGGATTGTATTTGGATGATCACAGACAATAGCTATGCTTTTCTGTCAGAAGAAAATAGTTTATTTAAAGCCCAAAGTATGTAATTTTTATGAACTAAGAAATATACTCAAAGCACATTTATAACAAAAGATGGAAAATAATTAGGCTTCAAAAATGGTCAGAAATAATATTAACATTATTTTATTCTAAAATATATATGTATTAAAAAATAAATAAGTAACAGTGTCATTAGAAACTAATATTTCCATATAAGAGGTAAGAGAGATAAATAAAAATAAAATCAAATAATCTTATTACCAAATTTGATCTGGAGTTATCATAATGAACTGAAGATGAAGTAGATTTTGTTTATAGTAGTATTCTACCTGATAATTGACAATGATGTGATAGACTGATGATGGAATGATACTATCCCAATTTTTCGATTTATAATGAAATAAGGGATCTATAATATGATTATCAATGTCTGCTAAAGCTACTTGCAGAGGAACTTATAGGAAACCTGCATTAAGAAAAATAACCAAATAATTCTTATCTCAGGAATGAAAATTTGTTTACAATAGGAAATCAATCAGTATGATTATCCGTGTTAAATATAAACAGAAAAAAGGAGAAAAACAAAGATAATTTCAATCATTGCAGACAAAGGAAATCATTTGATATAATGACACATACATGATGAAAACTCTTAAGCAAACTAATAATATAAGGGTACTTTCTCAACTTAACAATAAATATTTTAAAACCTACAACTAACATTTACGTACTTTATACGTTGAGAAGATATTTTAAAATATTAATAAAATTTAATTACTTAATGGCAAAGACTGATCGTGTTGCCCCTAAAACTAGAAACAAAGAAAAGGTTTTTTTCTGAACTACTTCTGCTCAAAATTGTGCTACAATATCTAGCCAGAATATAAAAGAAGAAAAATACATAAAAGACACATATCTCAGGAATGAAGAAATAAAATTGCTTATTTTTTTAAACAGAGATTTTATTCACAGAACACATTATCTCAAAACAAAGACAAATTTACTTTTGAACGAGTATTTGATGAGATTGATTGATGCTATTTTTGTAAGTTGTGAGAATGCTATTATGATTGTGATTTTTAAAAAGAATCATGATCTCTTATAGATGTTTGCAGATGCAATGTTATTTTGCCTAACTTTAATACTATTCAAGTTGTAATGCAGAGGTCTTTAGTACAATGTCTAGGAACATATCAAACAAGCTTGGTTATTAGTGTGTAATTGTAGTAGGTGGTTGATGGTGTATGGGCAATCATAATTATCAATTCATTATCAATATTATTATTATATTATCATTCTCACCACTTATGGGTATTCTTGAATCTTCCATTATAGGAAGTTTAAAATGTAAAGAAAAAGAAAATGTGTTGGCAAAGATGCATAAGGTAAATAAAAATAGAAGTCAAAAGAGGCAAACTGAATTCAAGGTTAAAAATTAGATTAGAGAGTGTTTACCCAAGAAAAGCTAATTTTCATTTTATAAAGGTAGATTCTGTATTATTTTCTTTTATTGTGGTGAAACACACACACACACACACACACACACACACACACACACACCCCTGAGATCCACCATCTTAAAAAATATGTAAGTTTACAATACAGTATCGTGAACTATAAGTACAATGTTGCACAGAAGATCTCTAAAACGTTCTCATCTTGAATAATCAGACTTTATACAGTGTGATCAGCAAATCTCCATTTCCTCATATCTCAGCCCCTGGCAACTATGACTCTACTTTCCAGTCTGATTGATGGGTTTGGCTACTTTAGATACTTTATGTAAGTGGGATCATGTGTTTTTTTTTTTCCTTCTCTTACTCGCTTATTTCATTCAGCATAATGTATGCAGTGTTCATCTATGTTGTCACATATGATAGGATTTTTTCTAAGAATGAATAATAATATTCCATTGTAAGAATATACCACATTTGATTTATTCGTTAATCCATCAATGGACATTAAGATTGCTTCCACATCTTGGCTATTGTGAATAATGCTGTGATGAGCATAGGAGTGCAAATCTCTATTTGAGACACTGTTTTAATTATTTTGAATAAATACTCAAAATTAAGATTGCTGCATCTTATGATAGCTCTATTTTTATTTTCTTGAGGTATCTCCAAATTGTTTTCCGTAGTGGCTGCACCATTTTTACATTCCCACCAGCAATATAAAAGGGTATCAATCTTTCCACCTTTTTGCTAACAGTTTTTTTTTAATTTTACCTTTTTTATAATGGCCATCCTAACAAGTTTGAGGTGACATCTCATTGTGATTTGGATTGCATTTTCCTGATCAATAATGTTGAGCATCTTTTCATATACCTGTTGGCCATTTGTATGTCTTCTTGAGAAATATATGTTCAAGTCTTTTGACCATTTTTAATTGAGCCATTAATTATGTTTGCTATTGAATTATGTGAATTCCTTATATATTTGGGATATTAATTCCATATTAGATATGTAATTTGCAAATATTTTCCACCATTCTGTAGGTTTCATTTTGTTGATTGTTTCCTTTTTTGTGCAGAAGCTATTTAGCCTGATGTAGTCCCACTTACCTATTTTTTGTTGTTGTTGTTGCCTGTGCTTCTAGAAGTTGTACAATTTCTGATATTACATTTAAGAGCCTAATCTAAGTGAAATTAATTTTTATGTATAATGTAAGATATGGGTCCAATTTTATATTTTTGCATGTGGCTAAGTGAAGTATCCTGCCTGGACCAAATAGCTGTAAAATAGTAAATATCATTTTTTCTGTATCTCCCATCAGAAGAAAATTTGAATTGTTGGGAGTATTTTTTTAGTTTGCTCATGGTATAATTTACATACTTCATATGCTGAGAAGATATTTTAAAATATTAATAAAATTTAAAGAATATTCTTTTTACTGTATAGAAAAATTATATTTTTGTTACATTTTGATCTCCCATATCCAGACTAATTACTAAAAAACTGTTTCTGCAAAATTACCTGAATGAATCAGCCTAATTATGTCAACAGCTTAAGGCTAGGGATCCTGCTGAAGTTGTGGCAGGTGCAGTTGTGACAGCAAAGACGAACTTTTTCCAATAGTCTTTTTATGAGGTCAATTTAGTATAATCATGGATTGACCAGAGGTGGCCATAGATTATCTATGTGCAAATAAATACCTATGTGTTAGAAACTCTACTGTTAAAAGAAAATTACAAATTTAACACTTCAAGCATGTGTACTTGCTTTGCAACAGCAGCATTATAACGAAGTCAATCTGTTTATAATTAAAGCCTTATGAGATTCTTTTACCTTAGTAGGTTGTTGACTGAGAAACAAATACTTAAGTATGATAAGAAGGATGAAAGGTGGCTTAGAACATTGAAAAGGATTTTCCTGGGAAAACTACCAACATGGGAATTTGAATCAAAGTCGTTATTTGAATTTTACTTGGCCAGTTCTCATTTGATGAGCATGTATATATTTTAATATTTATATTGTGTATTATACATTTATATATTTTAATATTTACATTATGTAATTATGTATTATAACTTATGGTCAATAAGTGATTTTTGTTATGGTCCATTTGAAAATTACACTAATGTTATGGATACTTTAAAAGGGAATTGACTAAGCACATGAAATTCTTTAATACAAACATGAAACTATATATTATTTTGGCAGTGATTTATAAAATGCTAACTAAAGAAAAGTTACAATACATGGAAAGAGATCTTGAAATTATTCATTTCTTTGATAGTCATTAAATTATATTCAAGTGCAAATAAAGGCGTGTCTAAATAAACTTGAGTTGTTGGGATTTTTTTTTTAGTTTGCTCATGGTATAATTTAAATGCTTCATATGCTGAGAAGATATTTTAAAATATTAATAAAATTCAAAGAATAGATATTTTTACTTTATAGAAAAATTATATTTTTATTACATTTTGATCTCCCATATCCAGACTAATTACAAATAAACTAATTAAACTTTTCTTATCAATTCTTCATATTGAATATTGAGATTAATGAATGTACTGGAAAAAATGAGAAGGTGGAAACTGAAAAGCCAGGTACAATTGAAAACAATTTATTTAACCCAAATATTGAAACTATATCTAATATTATTGTATTTTCACTTTTATCCAATATTTATTTCTTTTTTATATTATCAGTACACAACAAAATATATCTAAAAATAATAAATAATGTGTGATATTTTGGTATATAATTCATGCAGCATTTTCTATTTTAGTGGCCACATTAATATGCATCAATGTGATAAACTTTATTTTAAAATGAATGGCTCATATACACTAAAAATATTTCTATGCTCAAAGATTTTATTTTACTAATCTTTCATCCCACCTAGGTCATCTTCATATCTTTTAATCTCTAATAGTATTTTCCTAATTATTTCAAAGTCCTATAAATACCTTTTCAATTGTTGTCTCTAGTGCTATATAGAAAAAGTTGTAAAGTTAAAACGAGAAGACACAAAAGAGAAAAGTCTTTTTTTTTTCAACTTTTATTTTAGGTTTAGAAATTACAGGTGAAGGTTTGTTACATGGGTAAATTGAGTGTCACTGAGGTTTGGGGTACAAATAATCCTGTCACCCAGGTAGTGAGCATAGCACCTAAGAGAGAGGTAGTTTTTCAACCTTTGTCCTCCTTCTACCCTTTTCCCTCTAGTAGTCCTCAGTATCTGTTGTTCCCATTGTCATGTCCATGTGTACTCAATGTTTAATTCTCACTTATAAGTGATAACAGGTGATATCTGGTTTTCTGTTCTTGCATTAATGCGCTTAGGATAACGACCTCCAGCTGCATCCATGTTGCTGCAAAAGACATGATTTCGTAGCTACATATTATTCCATGGTGTATAATGTGTACCACATTTTCTCAATCCAATCCATCATTGATGGGCATCTAGGTTGATTCTTTGTTTTTTGTCTTTGTTCTTGTGAATTTTGCTATGATGAACATATGAGTGGTTGTGTCTTTTTGGTAGGATGATTTATGTTCTTTTGGATATATAGCCAGTAATGTAATTGCTGGGCCAAATAGTAGTTCTGTTTTAAGTTCTTTGAGAAATCTCTGAACTGCTTTTCACAGTGGCTGAGCTAATTTACATTCCCACCAAGAGTGCATAAGTGTGCCCAGAAAGCTTATTCTTATGGAGACAGCGAAGTGTGCTTAGGTTTATTTCTTTTAAGGAATAATCATTCTCTGATCTCTGACTGGGCACACTCTTTAAAAATATAAAAATAGGTAAGTAAATGAATAAATAAGTAAATGTGTAGATATAATATATGCATGTATATATGCCTATATATTCACAAACTCATGTATATAATTATATATGTAAATGTGTTTCTTAGCAGAAAATTTAATTTTGTAATATTTGAGACATTGTATATAACCTTTTGTTCCTCAGAGCAACTGTATGAATTTTTTAGCTTTATCTCAATATAGAGTTTCATAAGCTTAGATTGAGAGAATATTAGTAATTGAACTTGCAATACTAGGAAGCAGTAAAACTTTGCATGTATCTTGTGCCCATAATCCACTAAATTAAATTTTGCCATACAAACTACAAATATTATGGACATTTAAAGCAAAGATTTATAAAATGTTTAATTTATTAAAACAAATTTAAAGGCAATATATTGTTGACCAACATCTTTACATTGTGACCAAAATGGCATATAGTTATTTGCATAATATTCGATTTTCTTTACACAAAACTATAATTTCATTGGCATTGATCCTAATAAGCATCTTTTCCTAGGCTACATTACAATTCATAGCATAATTCCCTAAATAAACCTCTTGTCGCATAGCGGGGCACTTCAGTGATGAATAGGTCAAAATCTGGGGACTATATCTCTTTTTTTGAGATATGGCCTTTTTATATAAAGTTTATATCTATATATATATATAAAAACAAAGTGCCAAAGGCTGATTTATACACTATACATAATTGGTTTCATCCAAGTGTAAAGCAAAAACTTTCTAGCCAGACAAATGTGATAGTAATTGGGTGATGCCCAACATGTTGTCTGATAAAAGAGTTTTGCCAACAGCTCATATTGCTTTTTCTCAGTGCCTGATATTTGTCATAACATTTGCAGCTATTTTTTAGAAGCTTTAGAGCAAGTGTAACATAACTTTTTTCCCCCTAATCTAAGAATGCAACTTTCCATGATGTCTCAGTAATATAATCCATCAGTTTTAAGCTTGGATGTGTTATTTTTTTCTTATTCTATATGAAACCACAAATTGCTTTCTTAGAGCACAGGAAATAGTGTTGCTTTGAAAATATGAAACTTTTGTGGCTTCATGTTACGACTTATATGGTGTCAAAACAAATAAAAAAGGCATTGGGATCTGGAACAAATGGATCTTCAGGTAAATTAAGTTCGTTTTCTCCATATTTTCATAGTCAGGGCTCTTTTTAAATTTTTTGGGGAGGTGATTTGGCAACTTTTTGTAGCCATGTTCTTCATTATCTCTGCAGACCCTGTAGTTCTATTGACTGTTTTAAACTTGTGATGTTATTTTTGTTTTCTTTTGAAGTTATGTTATTTTTTCCACATCTCATTTCATGCTATGGTGAAGTATGGCTGAATCCTGGTCAGTCTTGGTGAGTTGAAATTATAATACAGCACGATAAGAGCAAAAAAAAAAAATTAAACTCCAACAGACATAAACATTAGTGCAAATTAGACTGGCCTAAGGCTCTCTTAGTCATTTGGGGCTGCTATAACAAAATACTATAGACAATTTAAACAAACAAACCAAAAAACACTTATTTCTCACAGTTGTGGAGGATGGGAAGTTCAAGATCCAGGTGCTGGGTGGATCAGTTTCTGGTGAGAGTTCTCCCGATTTTCAGATGGCCTTATTCTTGTGTTCTCACATGGTGGGAAGGGGAAAGAGAGAAGACAGCTTCCTCTTTCATGTCTCTTTTTATAAGGGCTCTAACCCCATTTTGAGAGCTCTACCAGTATGACCTAATTACCACCCAAATGCCCTACCTCCAAATACCATCATATTTGGGTTTCAGCTTCAACATCTGAATTTTGTGTAGGCACATACATTCAGTCTATAGCAAAGACCAAGTAAACAGTGTAGTTATTTTAGGGCATGTTCAGTCTTTGATGAGGTTATCTAATAGTTATGGAATTCCCATGAAAATTATTATTTGGCTTTGATTTCAAATGGTGAAATATAGATGAATTATTTCATCACACTGGCCTCCAAAAATGGCAAAATACCTTCATACAATGTCATAAAGCATTGAATGCCACAAGCAGTCCAAAGATAATATTTTGAAATCATACAGGCTAATTTTAGTGATATATTAAGTCTTCACATATTCCATTATACCATGAAAATATGAAATAGTAATTGGAATCTATTGCTGGATAGTTATAGCCCTTGGTGGTGTCATATTTCCCTGCTTTTTCAAGTTTCTTGAGTCTTTCCATTGATATCTGCATATGTGGGTGTAGCAGTTCCTCATTCAAATTTTATTTTCCTGAAGATGTATGTATGTCATTGGGTAAGATACTTTGCCTTTTGTTTTGGGTGCCTGCAGTAGCATGAATTTTGTGTGACTTATTTGGCAGTACACAGGGTCAGTGATCTCTGGATGTCCTCAGTGACTTAGGGTACAGTTAACAGTTGAGTTGTGGTAAAGTTTAGCTGGGGACTTGGGTGGCAATTGAGCCAGTCTTTTGGCCCCAGTGCTGAAAGCAGTGTGGTAAGTCTCTCTGTTTGTAAGTCTCAGAGCAGTTTACGCTGGCTGTAGACTTAGTGGGTCCTGGAGGGCTGATTCTTGGGCCTTCAAGTGGCCTCCTCAGAAGTTAGCAGTGGGAATGGTGGGCCCAGTGTGTGAGTGGTTTCTTAGGCCACTGAGGAGCTGGTGTGGTGTCAGTAATGGCAGCAGCAGTGGTGGAGCAGCCCACTGGGACCCAAGTGGTTCATATTTTTGTTGGTAGAAGCTAGATCTGTTGGAAAGGCTGGTTCACAACCCCACAGCTGCCCACAGCAAGGTAATGGGTATTGTCTTAAGTGTGCTTAGGAGAACTTGGTTTCCCCTGTCCCTCTTCCAGTTGGGTAGTGGATGCAACTGCTTCACCTCAAACTCGTACTGAAAGTGGGGCACAGCCCAACATTAAACTCTCAGAATGGTACTGTGAGAACAGAGAAGGCTGAATCCCTACCAGGCAAGCAACCTGAACAATAAGCTCTGGATAGTATGGTGCATTCATGCATCAGTCTCAACAGCAGCCTGTTGCAGGTCAATGGGTCTTATCCTAGTGATATGGTTTGGCTCTGTGTCCCTGCCCAAATCTCATCTTGTATTGTAATCACCATGTGTCAAGGGAGGAAACTGGTCAGAGGTGATTGGATCATGAAGGTGGTTTCTCCCATGCTGTTCTTGTGGTAGTGAGGGAGTTCTCATGAGAGATGATTGTTTTAAAAGTGTTTGGCAATTCCCACTTCACTCTCTCTCTCCCGTTGTCTTGTGAAGAAGGTGCCTCCTTCTCCTTTGCCTTCCCCCATGATTGAAGTTTCCTGAGGCCTTGCCAGCCATGCAGAACTGTGAGTCAGTTAAACCTCTTTTGCTTATGAATTATCCAGTCTCAAGTAGTATCTTATATACTATAAAAACATACTAATTCACCTCGATATGCATAGGATAGTCCAGTTTCCCTGTCCTTCCTTGGCCTGGGTGGTGACTGTAGATGCATGTCTGCCTGAACTCAGGCCAAGAGTAGGATGCAGCTCAGTGTTTAACTCAAAATTGTACCCTGGGCCTGGAACTAGAGGGAAGAGTCCCTCGCAGGAAAGCAGCACGGGCAAGAAGCTGTGGGGTGTGTGGTTTGTTTACATCTCAGTCTTAACAGCAGCCCAGAGCAAGGGGGCAGGGACCCTACTATAGATGCATAAGAACACCTGGTCACCCTTCTCCTTACTTGGAGGAGACAGCAGCAGCAGCCATGCCTATAGATTCCCAGTTTCAGGGTTCTCACAATGGTTGCAAGCTGATACTGCTCCAGGCTTGGATGCCCGTGGCATTCTGTGTGTGTTCTATTTCAATGTCTCTATGCAATCTTTAGGCAGCTCCATATATCAGGCCTATGCTTTACTGGGTTGAGCAATTCTTCCACTGCAAAGATTGTAAAATCCCAGTTTGAAGCAGTGATGTTTCTTTTATACTTTTTCTGCACATCCAGGAGCGTCTCCTGGCTCTGAGTCAGTTCCCAGGTGGGCAAGCTGCTTTGAATCCTCTCCTTATTTATTTCTGGTGCTTCCTGTCTCTTCTCTGGTGAATCCTAGCGTTCTCTTCTGAATATGATTATCTACTTACTGTTCATTTTTCTCTCCATGGAGGGGGCACATACTACCTCCTTCCATCTTGATCCCACTCCTAAAAATATTTTTCTAAAAAAGTTGGCTTTATAAATCTATAGTACTTGATTGTGTATTTCATAGCATTGTAAAATTTCCTATAATTTATTTGAGAATAAAACCTATATAGGTAATGAATTAAATATTTGAGAAATTTGAGATATTTAGATTTATTTACCTATTTATTTAGCAAGGCATTTTTTACTTTGGTGTTGCATTTCCTTCTACTACTTTTGACATCAGCTACATATCTAATGAACAGGTCTCATGTTTTCTGCAACATTTAACCTCACGTTTTTGCCATATGTCTCAAATTTTCTGATTTGTGATTTTCTCTAAAGCTTTGAGAGTCTCCGTAGCCCACCAGGAAAGCATTCCAAGAGGACAGAAGTATAACTCATCCCCAGTGATATCCCTTAATAAATGGGGGGTGAAGAAGTGAGTTAGAGTTTGTGAATAAATATCCCAGTTCTACATCTAGAAAAAAAAATTCTGAGATTCAAGCTACATGTTTCTACAGATGGTCTTGAAAAAGACAGAGCCACAGTTTTCCATAGTATTAACCAGATCATTAATATATACTCTACTATCTTTTTTCACTTTTCTGTCTCACTCATCTCATTTTGTCAGTTCTGCTTTCAGACATCACCTCCAAAATCCCTTACCTGAAACCAAGTCTTTGTCTCAGTTTCCATTTATAGTAAAAATCAAGTAAAGGCATGTAGTAGAAGTCAGGTGGTATGCACGTGGACGCACAATAGTATCATAATTAATAAGACTCTCTCAGTGTGGCTGGATTGGGATGAGACATAAAAAAGAAGCAGTGGCCTCTCAGTAATTCCAAGACTTTAATGGTATGAGATAACTGTAAAATATAGCAATTGTGTTGTAAATTGTCTTTGTTAAATTCCAGATTTGCATGAATATTCTGGATGAAGAGAAGTTGCCTTTCCATCTTTCTTTTTGAGGAAAGCAGCCTCTTCTTGCTCAGTGAAGATGCCAATTATCACGTTAATAAAATGCCTTGAAATAATATTTTTTACCATCAAGCTGTGCTTCCCACTCTTTCATTGCCTATGGACCAATAATGGTAATGCCATTTTCTGTTTTGAGGTAAAATAATATTTTCATTGAAGAAATTTCCGAACCAGGCTAACATGACTAACAGGCACGTTTGATGGGGGAATCGCAGCAATGGATCTTAAAGGTACAAGTAAAAGAGAGAGTCAACCAAAAATATGGCTGAATAGGGGAGAAAATATTGGCATGGGGAATCTCTCCTTTGATTCAGCATTTAATATCCTGGCCAGATAAAATGGGACATGTCTAATATGCTTCTTGGATGCTCCTGGGATGTTAGATATTATGATACAGTCATAATAAATTGACTAGTACTTATATATTGGTATAGTAAATTGAAGTTAATATGCCAAAACTGTGTTGCTGGAACTTTGAGGAAGGTTAAGAATTGGGAATATGATCATTGATAAATGACATGAAACCAGAGGGCAAACCTTCCAATGCTCCTGAAAAGAGTTCAGAAAACATTCCTTTTACTAAAAACATAAGGTATATCACAATGTGTGAGTGGCATTGACAACCAAAAGTAGTCCAATAAGAATGCCCTATCAGGTCATAATTGATGATAAGAGCCGCTGCCATTGGTCTATGTTAACTTGATTTGTTTTTAAAAAGCTGAAACCAGTTGGTAGTACTTAAACACCAGCAGCAATGTTGTTTGCTACAAAACTGGTGGAAACATTGCTGTGGCAACTGGTATTTTTGACCTGTAGGGATCTGTGGCAACAGCTAAAAGATCAGCCTATTCTTAGAGGCAATATAGATTAGAAATATGATAGACTTGTATAAGGAAGGACAAGTATAGCTAGACTTGTGTATTTCAAATTATACAAAATAGAGGAAGGAGTTTAAAATTTAAGTAGGGGAAATTATCTGGGGATAATGGCAGCAGTTTTTGAATGTCATTAAATTTCCCAGAAAATACATACAGAGTTACTGGAATAGCAACACGAAATACCCATGGAAAATATCTGCAATTAAATTTAGTTAGATAACCCCCGTGTTTGCTAGGGATGCCACAACGACGTGCCAAAATCTAGGTGTCTTAGAACAAAAGAATTTCTTATCTCTCGGTCCTGCAGAACAGATGTCTGAAATCTATGTGTTGGCAGGGACATGCTCCCCTGAAGTTTCTTGGAAAGGGTTGGTTCCAGGCTTCTCTCCTATCTTCTGATAGCTTCAGTCATTCCTTGCTTGCTATTGACCATCTTCTCCCTGTTTCTCTTCACATCATGTTTTCCTTGTATGCTTATCTATTTCTGTTTACAAAATTTTCCCTTTTGATGAGGATATCAGTCATATTGTGTTAAGGGCCACCCTAATGACCTTATCTTAACTTGTTCATCGGCAAAGACTATTTCCAAACAAGGTTACATTCACCAGTACTGGGGGTTGGGATTTCATCTTCCTGGAATGAATTCAATCTATAACACCCAGAAATCATCAAATAAATGTAGTATGTACAAACTTCCTGCTACTAAAATAATCTAATAATATATATCAGATACTTTGCTGGAAGAATCAGAAGAATAGCAACAGAACTCTAAACTGGAAAATATCAAATTATCCAGCAGGTTCTTATTAACTAGGATGTGGCATAATCTAAGCACAACAACCAAAACTGACGGTATTTTTCAAATTCTAATTTATGGGTATTTCAAAGTAGCATGAGAGGTTTGGAAAAGGCAAACATTGACTTTGGAATGTAAATTTTTGAAACTAGTAAACAAAAGCTCCCTTTGAGGGCAAACTGCTGCCCTGAAGAGTTAATGTTAGGAATATAATCTAAATTGAACAGGACACCTGCAACAAGGGAAAGAGGAGTAATGAAACAGATAAAAAGTGGGGGGGGGTAAATCAGAGGAGGCAAATATCAGAGTGTAAGACATATTTTTTATCACTTTTTAAAAACAACTAAAAAGGCAACTCTAAGTCCCTGAAGCTAGAAAAGCAATTCTATTTTCCAGTTCCTGTTAAAAGTGCAAAGCAACTCATATCGCCTAAACATAAGAGGCAGAAAAAGAATTGCAATTGAATCCTACAAAAATTTATTGTTAGGAAAAAAGACCAAAGAACATAATAAGGTCCCTATAGACAATGAGGGCTGGTAACAAGTATATGCCCATAAGACAAGAAAACTAAACTCAAAGCAAAAATTGCACCTAACAAAATTAAATATGTAAGAAAGACTTTATTCAAAACCATTGCAATAAGAGAGATCAGCAGTCTGAACTCAGCTCCAAGGAAATAAAGGGCAGGTGAGTTTTATGAAATATTAGAAAAATCTATATTTATCAATTGGCCCTACACAAAGGAAAAGTAAGCTTTCTCTTTTCTTCACAACAGGAGAGAGTCAACTAAAATACCAGTATACCAGAAGGGAAAATTTAGTAAATAGAGGCTTATAAAGTTAATACACAGTCAATAGCTTTCATAAATAAAGTGGAATCCTTAGCTTCATATTATATAGAAAGCAGGTACCCATTTATAATAGCAAAAATAAAAATCAAGTACCTAGGCATGAAATTGGAATCAATATGGAATATTAAAATATTAAAGAAGATTCAATATGTATTGATTCTTTCATCCAGAAATGCCACTTTCAGAAATTTAATCCAAATACAAATGGTGATACTAGAAAAAGATGCATGATTCAGGTTATTTATTGTAATATTAATAATAGCAAAATATTTAAAATGGATTGGATATTCATTAAGAGAAGATTGGTTGAATGTCATTGGTATACCCATACAATGGGATGATATGCAGCTGTAAAATTGTATAAAGAATATTCCTCTACTGGTACTTCTGACAACATCCAGGATAAATTGCTAAGAAAAACAATATAAAATTAAATGTGAATAGGATGTTACCCTTTATATTAAAAACATGGGTCTAAAATATAAATTAAAATATTAATAATAATAAACAGGATAAGATAGTATAAGACGGAAGCCCAGAATTTGAAATTTATATTTTAAAAATACTTTGTTTTCTGTATTTGGCTTTGGATCCATGAACACATTTCAAACAAATATAAAATAAAATTAATCTTCAAAAAATCTATATTAGAAGCTATATGAATCTAATAAATAAATTATTCAAGTAACAAAATACTGTAAGACCAGATGGCAATACAATGCAGAGACGGAGATCACACGTGATGTCAAAACAGAGTAATTTGACAAAATATTTCTAATATAATATCGCTTAATCAAATAAATTATGATAAAAATAAATGTTTTAGTAATTATGTCATTGTGAGTTGTGTCTATTGTTATTCTGAAACTGTTGTGTGAATACTACAAAAGACATCAAATGAGTAGTTATACTGAAATCTGAACATTTTTATCCTTGGGAGAAAGGTGATACAGGTGTAAGATTGAAACTATTAAATAAAAACTTGTACAATGATCTTGAGTTAGAATTACCAGTGTGAACTCATTATGCATTTTGTATTTTATAAAACATTCGTATTTTCCACTTCTTTTCATGGGAAATGCATGCTAGAATCCATATTGTGGTATCTAAACTTCCCAGAACCTCTTGGAGAAATGGTTATTTCCAAGACTTGGACTGGAATTATGGAAGAACCAAGCAATGTTGTGTCATTTAAGGAAGCAAGGAAGCTTTCAAAGACACTGGGTAATGTCAAAGGGACTCAACTATCAACTAAGAAATGTTCTCACTGGCAAAAGTTGGAACATAACATGTCATTATAAATAATAAGCACAATGGATTAAAACACATAAAATATGTTTAAATCTGTTATTCAAATGAGAAAAATATAAATTGCTTAAATGTACAGAATTAAACATATATATATGTACTTTCTTACACTAACAATAACAGAGTAGTTAATGAGCACATTCATTTTCTTCATGTAATTATTTCAGATAATAATGGCAATAAAAGTTATAATTAGAATATTGCTATTTAAAAACTCCTGATAATTGCATAGAGTTTGCATTTCTGCTTTGCACATTAATATCTTCCAATATCAAAGAGGAAATGATAATGAGAGAGAGAAAGAAGAAGGGAAAGAAAGAGAAAATGAGAAGAAAGGGAAAGGAGGAAGGGAGGAAGGAAGGAAGGAAGGAAGAAAAGAAAGACAGTAGGGAGGGAATGATGTCCAATTCCATCCATACTGCTGCAAATGGCAAGATTTTATTTTATTTTATGGCTGAATAATATTGCTTTGTGCATATATATCATATTTTTCATCCATTCATCTGTTGATGGACACTTAGGTTGATTCTATATTTGGCTATTATGAATAGTGCTGCCATAAACATGTTTGTGCAGATATGTCTTTGATATACCTATTTCCTTTTTTCGTTTGGGTATATACCTGGCAGTGAGACTGCTGGATCATCTGGTAGTTGTATTTTTAGTTTTTTTGAGGAAGCTTAATGCTATTTTTAACAGTGGTTGTACAAATTACATTCCTGCAACAGTGTATGAGGGTTCCCTTTTCTCCATCTTGGCATCAGCATCCATTATTCCCTGGCCATGTTAACTGGAGCAAGTTGATGTCTCATTGTGGTTTTTATTCATGTTTCTCTGATGTTTAGAGATGTCAAGTATTTTTAAATATACCTGTTGGCCATTTGTATGTTTTCTTTAAGAAATGTCTACTCAGATCTTCTATTTTTAATTAGATTAATTGGTTTTGGGCTATTGAACCCAGTCCCTTATATATTCTGGTTATTAACGTCTTGTCAGATGGATAGTTTGCAAATGTTTTCTCCAATTCTGTGGCTTGTCTATTCACTTCGTTGACTGTTTCCTTTGCTATGCAGAAACATTCTAGCTTGATGTAATTTAATTTGCCTGTTTTTGCTTTGGTTGCCCATGCTTTTGAGGTCTTACTAAAAAAATCTTTGCCAAGAACAATGTCCTGGAGGATTTTCCTAAAGTTTTCTTGTAGCAGTTTCAGTTCAAGGTCTTAGATTTTTCTTTAATTTATTTTGATTTGATTTTATGAGAGATATGTAGTTTCGTTCTTCTGCATATGGATATCCAGTTTTCCCAGCACTATTAATTGATGAGACCGTTGTTTTTCCAATATATGGTGCCTTGTTGAAATTGAGTTAGCTGTAAATGGAGTGTGAATTCATTTTTGGATTATCTATTCTGTCCCATTGGTTTATGTGTCTGTTTTTATTCCAGTACCTTTCTGTTTTGGCCACTATGGCTCTGTAATACATTCTGAGGTAAGAGAGTATGATTCTTCCAGCCTTGTTATTTTTACCTAGGATTGCTTTGACAATTCAACATCTTTTGTAATTCTATATATATTTCAAGATTTTTTTTTCTATTTCTGTGAAGAATGTTATTGATATTTTGATAGGGATTGACTGTATCTGTAGATCACCTTTGGTAGAGCAGACATTTTACAGTATTAATTCTTCCCATTCATGAGCATGGGATATCTTCTCATCTGTGTCCTCTTCACTTGTTTTCCTCAGTGGTTTATAGCTTTTCTTGCCAAGGTCTTTCACTTCTTGGTTAATTTATTCATAGGTATTTTACATTTTTTGTAGCTATTATAAATTTGTTCACTTTCTTTATTTCTTTTTCTGATTGTTCACTGATTGTTCACTGTTTATGTGAACTGATTGTTCACTGTTTATGTTAGTAATTTTTGTGTTTTGATTCTGTAACCTGAAACTTTACTGAATTTATTTATTAGTTCTAACAGTTTTTGGTGACGGCTTTTGGGTTTTCTAAATATAAGATCATGCCATCTGTAGCAAGGCTAATTTTACCTCTTCCTTTTCAATTTATGTGTCCTTTATTTATATCTTCTTTCTAATTGCACTGGATAGGACTTCTAGTATTATGTTGAATAAAAATAATAGAATTGGGCATACTTGTTTAGTTCCAGACCTTAGAAGGAAGGCTTTCAATTTTTCCCTGTTCAGTATGATGTATGTAGATTTGCAACATATGACTTTATTATTTTGAAGAATGTTCCCTCAATATTCAGTTTGTCAAGCATTTTTGTCATAAAAGCAAATGGATATTCATTATTTTACTAATTCTAGTTTTGTATAGTATTTGAAATTTTTCTATTACAAATTGATAACAATTTGTTTTTCCAGAATTATAATGATTAAATATTCAGTTGTAAGATTTTTAAAAAATTAATAAAATAGTCATTTGATTAAAAAATTATGTGTTTTTATGTGTAGGTCTCTATTTGAATATTTCTGTCTACTAAGTAATGTTTGAATATAAGAATCACCTGAAAATTTTATTTCCAGGGAAATTTTTTAAAAAACATAATTCATGTTTAAACTCTCCTGAATAAAAGACTTACTAAAGAGAGAAAGTAACATTTTCTCTTATAAACCTACTGTATTAGTTCATTCTCACATTTTTATAAATAAATGCCTGAGACTGGGTAAATTGTAAGAAAAGAGGTTATATTTGCTCACAGTTCTGCAGGCTATATAGGAAGCATGTTAGTGTCTGCTTCTGGAGAGGCCTGAGGGAACTTACAATCATGGCGGAAGGAGATGTAGGAGCAGGCATCTTCACATGGCTTGAGCAGGAGGAAGAGAGAGAGAGGGAAAGTGCTGCAGACTTCTAAACAAACAGATCTCATTAGAATTCTATCACAAGAACAGCACTACGAGGATTTTGCTAAACCGTTTATGAGAAACCACCCCCATGACAAATCACCTTCCACCAGGCTCCACCTCCAACATCGGGGTTTACATTTCAACATGAGATTTGGGGAAGGACATGGATCCACACCATATCACCTACTCTTGGTACAATCAAATATTATGAAGAACAAATTGTCAATATCTAGTAAGTGACAATGTGCATGTCCTTCAACTGTGAATGTCTAGTTGAATTTTTTCTCCTATATACATATATGTACAAAGATGACATGTACAAGAATGTTTATAGTTGCATTATTTGCAACCATAAAAAAGTGAAATATGACTTGTCACTACTACACATATAAATATATTTGAATATCCAAATTAATTTGATAGAGGATGAAAATTAACTTGCTTTCTATTAATAATTATAAAACTGAACATTAAAATTAAATAATGTAGTCATTGAAAAAGTATATGTACAGAAGACATCATTTTCAGTTTTTTAAATGTAAACAATCAATACATGATATTTGTAAAGCTCCTTATAGATTGAAGAAATGTGTAAAATATTATGAGAAAGGATACTAACTTGATCATAGCAAACTGGTAAATGGGAAAGGTAATAAAATCAGATAAAAGTTCAAAAGATACCTGAAGATATCTATTTCTTATAATTTTTTATAACAGGACTTATCGATGTATATAGTTCGCATAATATAAAATTCACCTGCTTAAAGTGTACAATTCCATGCTATTTAGAACATTTACAGAGTTATGCAACTAACATTATAATTTAATTTTGGAAAGTTTTATCAATAAAAATCCCTTATTCAGATAAACAATTATAATATTTTATTATTGAAATAAAATAATATGAAGTAATGTAGTAAAATAGGGCATGTATTTGTTCGATTCATAGAGGTTTTGTTTATTATTCTTTAAAGCATTTTACATCTAAATAATTTCCTCTAAAATAAATACAAACCATACAGATTAAAAAATATTCTTCTACATGAAATAGCTATAGAAGTTTCTGTTTTCTTGTATTAATCCTAATTTGTTACATAACATAACCTTCACTTGCTCAGAAACTGTCATATTCAATCTCTTTTGTGTGAATACAGATTTTCAGAATTGCACTTTATTTATGGATGAACATTCTGATTTCTGAGTCAACTGAGTCAATCTCTTTTGTGTGAATACAGATTTTCAGAATTGCCCTTTATTTGTGGATGAAGGTTCTGATTTCTGAGTCAACTGTGTTGATGGCACTTCCTTTATTTTTTTGAGACATTTCTATACTACAAAACTCACACTTTTAAAGTAAACTATTCACCTGCTTTTAGTATATTACAAGGTTATAGAACCTTACCACAATCACTTTAATTACCCTCAAAGAAATTCTATATGCATTAGTACTTATGTCCCTTCCAGCCTCTCCACATTCCCTGAAAACCATTAATCTGCCTTATATCTCTATAGATTTGACTATTCTGGGCATTTAAAATCAACTGAAGCATATAATATGTAGTCTTTTGTATATAGCTTATTTCACTTTGGATAATATTTTCACAGTTTCTCCATGTTGTGCATGTACCACTATTTTATTTCATTGTATTTCCAAGCATTATTTCACTGTATGTATACACATTTTTTTAAGTCCATTTCTCTGTTGATAGATATTTGTGTTGTTTTAACGTTTTGTCTATTATGATATGTGCAAAGTTTCTAATGGGTGTATTATGTTTTTGGTTCTTTTGGATGTTTACCTAAGAGTTGAACACGGGGTCTATGTTTAATTTTTTTGTGGGATTGACAAAACACTTTCTAAAATGATTGTACCATTTAATAGTCTACCAACAATATATGACTCTTTGAATCCCTTCACATGATCCCCAACACATTCTTTTATATTATTTTTATTATAGCCAATCTAGTAGAAGCAAAGTGGAATCTCATTGTGGTTTTAACTTGCATTTTGATAATCACTAAGAATGTAGAACATCTTTTCATATACTTATAGGCCGTTTGTATTTCTTCTTTAGAAAAATGCTCAAATTCTATGATATTTTTAAATTATGTACTTTGTGTTTTTATTATTGAATTATTGGAGTTTTTATATATTCTAGATAGAGTTTCTTACCAAATATATATCAAACGTTTTCTCGCATTTTGTGAGTTGTCTTTTTACTTTCTTGATGATAGTATTTGAAGCTCAAAGGTTTTATATTTAATTGTAATGAAGTCCAATTTATCTATTTTTCAGTAGGAATGCTTTTGGAGTTATATCTAAAATCATTGTCTTGCTCAAAGTCAGGAGGATTTATGCCTGTGTTTTCATCCAAGGCTTTTATACTTTTAGATCCTACATTTCAGTCTTTGGTCTATTTTAAGTTAACTTTTGTATATCCTGTAAGGGACAGCCCAACTTCATTTTTTTTTTTTTGCATGAAGATTTCCCATTGTTTCAGTGTCATTTACTAAAATTAATATTCTTTCCTCATTGAATTGTCGTGGCACCCTTGTGCAAAATCAATAGAAAATAAACATCAAGGTTTATTTCTAGTATCTCAATCCTATTCCATTGATCTATGTGTCTAGTCTTATGCTAGCTATATTGTCTTTAATGACTGTAGTCTTGTAGTAAGTTTTGAATGAGGAAGTGTAAATTCTTCAACTTTACACATTTTTAAGATTGCTTTGATTATCATAGGTCCTTTGCTTTTCATATAAATTTTAGGATCAGCTTGTTAACACTTGGAATAAAGCCAGATGGGATATGGATAGAGATTGAATCAAGTTTGTATGTCAATTTGGGGAGGATTGCCATTTTAATATTAAGCCTAACAACCCATAAATACAGGATCGTTCCACTTATTCAAGTGTTATTTTAGAAAATTAATAATTGTTTTAATTTTGAGGGTATAAGTTTTGCACTCATTTGGAAAAGTTGTTTCTATGAATTTTATTCTGTTGGATGCTCTTTTATTTTTTAATTTCATTTTCATATTGTTCATTGCTAGTATATAGAAATATAGTTTTTGTATGTTGATACTGTATCCTGTAAGCTTTCTGAATTGATTTATTGTCTCCAATTGTAATTTTGCAGATTCATTGGATTTTCTGTGTCTAAGATCATGTTACCTACAAATGGAGATAAATTTTTCTTCTATTATTTAAGCTATATAAAAATATATATCCATAATAAATCTATAATACATAAGTATATTTATGTTATTACATATTTTATATTATGTATGTATAGAAGTAAATATATATTTTATATATAACTTTATATATATATATGTATTTTTTAATCTTGCTTATTTTCCTGGCTATTATCTTCAGTAAGATGTCAAAGTAGAAGTGGATAGAATGGACATTCTTGTCTTGTTTCTAATATTAAGGAGAAAGCTTTCAGTCTTTCACCATTAAGTATGCTAACAGTGAATTTTTTATAGATTGCTCATTTTAGATTGAAGACATTCATACCTATTTCCAATTTTTTTAGTATTTTTTTGAATCATAAAAAGGTGTTGGATTTTTCAAGTGCTTTTTCTTTTTCTTCTGTCTGTGCATTTTTGTTATGATTAATATGATGTACTATAAAATAGTTTGTACTTCAATAATACGGGGTATTATGCTGATTTATTTTTATATATTAAACCACCTTTGCATTTCTGAGATAAATATTTCTTGGTAAAGATATCTAAATAGCTTTTACATGGTGACAGCTCCTGTTTGCTATTATTTGGTCAAGGAATTTATATCTACATCTAGAAAGGATACTGGTCAGTAATTTTCTTGAGTTATTTTATTATTTGGGCATCAGAGTGTTTACTATTTTTTATTCTTTGGAAAATTTTGGGAAGGATTGATGCTGATTCTTCTTTAAACACTTATTAGAACTGCATCTGTCGGGGGGAAGAGAGAGCATTGGAAAAAAACAGCTAATGCATGCTGGACTTAATACCTACGTGATGGGTTGATAGGTGCAGCAAATCACCACAGCACATGTTTACCTATGTAACAAACCTGCACATCCTGTACATGTACCCTGGAGCTTAAAATAAAATTTAAAAAGTTATCTGTGAAAACATCTGTTCCAGAACTTGTTTGTGGGATTTAAAAATTACTAATTTGGTAATGCAATTACTATTTGATTATTAAACAAAAATAAAGACCATCGTATGTAATAATTTATAAGTTTGTTAATTCTTTCTATATCTTCTTGGGTTTATTTTGTGGTTCCCCCATGAGAACTAGGTCCATTTCATCCAGATTATCAAACTTGGCATAAAAATGTCCATACTATTCTCTAATAATACTTTTAATTTCTGGATTAATTAGTTTTTAGTTCATTCCACTTCTTAGATGTGTACATCAATTTTTTAAAATCAAATTTAGGTAGTATTCATCCATTATTTCTGCTCCTCTCTTTATTGACTCTCCTTTTCTTCTAATACTTCCAATATGTACAATATGCATATGTTATTGCACTTGTCTCTGAGGCTCTGTTCATTTTTTTCATCCTCTTCTTTTTGCTCCACAGACTAGATAATCACAATTTACTTTTCTTGACTTTTACTGATACTGTATTTTTTTGCCAGGTCAAATCTTAAAACCCTCTAATAAATTTTGTATCTCACTTTTCATAATTTTCAAATAAAGAATTTCTATGTTTAAATAATTTCTATCTCTTTGATTTGGTGAATAAACATTATCATAATCTCTGCTAGTTCTTCATACATAGGTTTCTTTATTATTTTAATTTGCATAAGATAGCTAATTTAAAGTCTTTGCATAGTAAGTTAATTGTTTGCACTTCCTCTGGGACAGTTCCTATTGACGTCTTTTCCAATGTACGAAATACATTTCTTGTTTTTTTAATATATTGTAATTTTAGTAGGTAGACAACTGGAAATTTCACATGCTATAATCTGACAACTTTGGAGTGATACTCTCCTCCAGTATTTTTTGGTGTTATTGCTGTTTTGTTTGTTTAATGGCTTTCCTTAACCAATTCAATGAATTCTGCTTGTTTGTTGTCTGTCAATTGCAATATTTCCTTGGATAGAACTGTGATCACCTAATGATTGGTCAGAGATTGCCTAAAAGCCTTTGATGAAATAAGCCCCTCAGCCTGTGCTAAGCGGCTGTGTTTTTATTTTGGAGTGCACCTTCCATGCTCTGCAGGCAGTTTACAACTCTGCCTTAGCCTTCGCTTACTGCTTAAGCAGGGCCTCAAAATCAGCCATAAAGAAGGTAGGGACTTCAAAAGACTCTCCAGAGCATACACACAGCCCTGCACCTATGGCTAACATTTTAGATTTTTAGAAATATGCTAGAGTTTAAAAAAAAAAGTCCCTGTGAATATTTTATTCTACAGATTTCCCTTTTGAATATTTGGTCTCCTTTTGTTTGTCCTAACTTTTACTATGGATTTAGGCAGCTGTGGTGTTCAGCAATTTTCACTGATTATTTTTGACAAATGCCTTGCGAAAAATGTGTTCACAATCACTGAGCTCTGAATCAAGTCAATTAAGAGAAGCTTTGTGAGTGCAGCTTTTCAGAGAATTGCCAGGCAGGTCTGCTGACTGTTCTCTTCATTCAGGACTTTTGTATAGCTCCAGCCCCATATTGTGTTTCCCAGTGTCTGCTAGGTTTCTGGATTTTACCAGACATTATGGTTGTCAGACTTTTGATTTTCAAGGCTACAAAATGGCTAAGAGAGAGGATGATGGTAACAGGGCAAATTAACCTGACACAAAATACACGTTCTTTACTGAAAGCCATTTTTTAAACAAACAATCCTCAGATGGTTGCAAACCCTGCTTAATTTCTAAAAATCTGAAAACAAAAAAGCTTTCAGAGTGGTAATTTTCTAGCATTTTTGTTGCTTTTGTTGAAGGTTGAATGTTCCAAGATTTTTATTCCACTATTTCCACTGTCATTCATTTCTTAACCTTTTTTTAAAAAAGTAAAAATCTGTTTGATATTTCTCGGGTTGTTTCTGTGACCAATATTTCTGACAATCTGGTCTAATGTTGACTTTTTTGTTCATTATGGTGCCCATACATTTACTTATTTTTGAACTCTCGTTTATTTCAAACTACTATAATATTTTGCTCTGTATAATACCTTTAAAATAATTTTTTTCTATTAGAGTCAAAATGCAGTATCTGGGTTTTTTTTGTTGCTGTTGTTATTGTTAACAAAGAGCACTTAGTAGTGTAAAAACAAAGTCCTAAAAATGGTGGAAATGTAGAAATATTTATTAGAACTAGTCAGAAATCTAGACTGAAGATATAAGGCAGCTAATTTTATTATTCTCTGTGCCCACCTAGAATTAATATGTGCATTGAAGTCAAGGTTTGAATGAAATTCTGTGTCAGTTGTGGTAGAAGACATCACATAGAAATCAGAAACTTACACATGAAATGAGAATTTTGAAAGGCATTGGATAGCTCATGAATGAGAATGGCAGTCTGAAATTCTTATATTCTGGGATGAATCCTGACTAAATCCCAGTGGTTTCCTAGGGTATTTCGAAAGGAATGAATTACCCGTTGCAGCCACTGGGTTGAAATAGCTGGAAATACAGTATCAGTTTTATTCCAAGGGTTAAGAATAAGAAGAAAAGTTGAAGTCACATTCTCATCAAAGTAGTTATGTGAAAATAAGAGTAAAAAATCCTTATAATAATTACATCAATAAAAAGGAGATCTCCTGTAGTAATTACCTAAATAGGAAGGAGTACAGAGATTGTTCTGAATCCCCAGTTCCCACTGAACTATTCTGGACAATATTAATAAAAATGCCATAACATAATTTAAAGGAGATTTTCCTTTTCCACAGACCCTCAGTCTTCAATTTCTCCAATAATAAAACTAGAATCAGACACCTATTTAACCACAGAGCTATTGATAATGTTAAACACTGAAGTATAAGTGTTAGACAAAATGCAATTGAAAAAGTTTACTAATATTTTAATATATGTGCAACTATGGTTTCTAAAATAAAATAAAGGAGGATTTCACTTTTTATTGGGGTGAAATTTGTATATATGTGTTTAGTTACAAATAATATGTTGTGATTCTCTGTTAGTTGGGTTTGTTTCTAATTATTTGCTCTAACTTTTCCAAAGTATAGCCTCAAGAGTGGCACACGATTAATAAAATTATCATACTAAATTTTATTGAATTCTTTTTTAATTAATTAATTAATTAATTTTTTTTTCTAGATGGTCTCACTCTGTCGCCTAGGCTGGAGTGCAATGGTGTGATCTCGGCTCACTGCTACCTCCGCCTCCCAGGTTCAAGCGATTCTCCTGCTTCAGCCTCCTGAGTAGCTGGGATTATAGGCACGTGCCACCAAACCTGGCTAATTTTTGTATTTTTGGTAGAGACGGGGTTTCACCATGTTGGTCAGGCTGGTCTTGAACTCCTGACCTCGTGATCGGCCC
Source organism: Homo sapiens (assembly GCF_000001405.40). Classification (NCBI taxonomy): domain Eukaryota; kingdom Metazoa; phylum Chordata; class Mammalia; order Primates; family Hominidae; genus Homo; species Homo sapiens. The sequence goes on from NC_000005.10 coordinate 18,934,152, forward strand.
TCATCGGCCTCCCAAAGTGCTGGGATTACAGGCATGAGCCACCGTGCCCGACCTTTTTATTGAATTATTTAGTAGGAATGTTGAAGCATGTTGTTCATGAAGACCCTTTACAGGAACAATTGGACATTCCTTTCATAAAAGCCTTGAGAAATATGGTGATGGTTACAACTGTGGGTTGTAATTCAATAGTTAGAAATTATAACTGGGGACATTATATTTGAGTTGGACTTCCTTTTCTCTGAAGTGGTAGAGTCCCATAAGGAAGAACAGGAGTACAGTATGAATTCAGAATAGTCTGATCTGGGTAATTTTTTGATGTTAGCTAATACATCACTGTGACTTCAGTAACAAATAGTCAGAAATGATCTAAAGTTCATCCTGATGTATATAACTATGAATATTCTAACGACACATTAAGCCAACATAATAATCTTATTTGATCGGAGTCTTAACATATCCATCAATTTATGAATTAATGGGACTGAAGTAACCATCCAGAAGGCCATATATTTCTGTATATACTGATAATATCTCTATTAGATTACTCAAACAGAATGTGGCTTTTTTTTTTTTTGAGACGGAGTCTCGCTCTGTCGCCCAGGCTGGAGTGCAGTGGCGCTATCTCGGCTCACTGCAAGCGCCACCTCCCGGGTTCACGCCATTCTCCTGCCTCAGCCTCCCGAGTAGCTGGACCACAGGTGCCTGCCAGAATATGGCTATTTTTACAAGTAAAACAGCTCCTGCAATCTTTAGGCAGTAACATTGATTTTATGCTTATTCTAGGGTATAGAATATACCAAAGTGTTCTAGCTGTCATTGTGGAGTTTTGTAAAGATCAGGTGATACCTTGACTTATGACAAAATATAATTTCATATTCTATTTGAAATCATTGTTTCTTAGTTATTGAGGCATATAATTAAATACATATAGTAACTGGATAAACTTATTTATTCTTTCTCTGGGTCATAAAATGAAGGAATACTTTTGACAGGAAACACCATGTAAATCCATATTAAATTTAAAAATTCCTCTTCTGTTCTAAAATAATAAACCCAAATTAATACTACATGGTAGACAATCCAAAGAATTGAGCTCCAGTCTCCAAAATGGATTCGTAGGTCTTAATTAACAATAAGTATCCACATTTAACTCTAAGTATTTCTTAACCAAAAATACAAATTATAATTTTTGTAAGTTTAATCCTATGGCCACTGCAAAATGCAGCTATTGTTCAGAGGTAGTCTTTTTGTGGTTCAAATCAGTGCAACACTTGGTAAATAAAGTGGAGTTTTGCAGCAAATGAGTGTCTATTTTTTATATTAAAACATGCAAAACAAAACAAAAAATACCACCAAAAATGCTTTACTTTAACAAACTTGCAAAGAAGTAGGATTCACTATGTCACCACAAGGTTATATGACTATATTAGTTATCTATTGCTACTATATAACAAATTATCACAAACTTAATATCTTAATATAACAAATATTTATTATCTTATAGTTCTGTAGGTTAGAAGTCTGGGTTTACTCTATTGTTTTCTCTGTTTTGTGATTCAGAAGGCTGAAATCAAGATGCTAGCTGACCTGGGTTTGTATCTGTAGTCTCTAAGGGAAAATCTGTTTCTAAGATAATTCAAGTTGTTAGAAAAATTTAGTCTTTTGTGATTGTATCGCTGAAGTCCCCATTTCCTTGCTGGCTGCCATCTCTGAGCTTCTCTCACTTCCTACGGCTGGTCTATACCCCTCCTTACACAGTCTTCTCCATGTTCTAACCAGCAACAGTGTGTTCAATTATTCTCATGCTTTGAATCTCTCTGACTTCAGTTGCTTTTTTTTCTGCTTCCAGCTAGACCATCAATGTTCTTTGATAAAGGCTCTTGTAATAATAGTGGCTCCATATAGTGAGTCTATAAGACATTCACGCTAATATTTTTTTCTGAACATTCATAATCTTAATTATATCTATAAAGTCCTCTTTGCCATACAATGTAACATTTCACAAATTCCAGGAATTAGGCATGAGTATTCTTTGCTGGGAACAGAGATTTGACCTGACTACCCCAGTTATGAGTTCTATGATGTAATTTATGTCACAGGAAAATTAATGGTTCAGGATTTCATGGACAGCAAAAATAAATAAATAAATAGATAAATAGATAAATAAATAAATAAAAAAGCATTATAGTTGCCTCAGTAAAAATCCTAGGATGGGAGAAAATCTTAACATAGTATGAGTGTATAATACCTCAGTGAGTCTTCCAGAGATAAATTACATTGGTTAAATTGGGTTCCTCAAATTAATATGGCTTTCTAAGCTTTGATCCCTCGATCATTAAGTTAGAAATGCATTGCTTGGGACAACTTGAGAATTTGGAAACAATGTCTACAAAATTGGATATGCTGCGCCCGTAAACTTACTGAATGAATGCAAAAGTTTCTAGACTTGCATTTGCTTTTGAAGACTTGGTCATATGTTAAGAACAGAGGATATGTGTGTGCTCAATAACAATTATCTTCTTCCTTCACCAAGGCTAACATGGAGACAATGAATAACAAGTCCATAATTTATCCGAAAGAAAGGCAAAACATACAGCAACATAAACTGAGGGATCAGATAATTATTGATAGAACACTGAATATATCAGACTCTTTCTACCATGAAAAGATTCGTATTTTTTTTAATTGGAGGAGGTGCTCATTTTCAATTTAGATTTTCCTTTTCTGCTGCCATGGAAAAACATCACTGTCTGTCAGAAGAATGTGTTTTACATTCTCATGGCAACCATCAGTATAGTTCTTCTGATCCACAAATTTATAGCAAAACATTTAAAAAATAATGATAAATACTTGTAGAATTCTCTACATTAGTATGTATTCACTATATTGAAGCAATTGGTTATTTAGGAAATTAGAACGTTCTACTAAACACTTAGGTATGATGTAAATTGAAACCCAATAACTTTGTTTAGTGTTCTTTCCTGCAAAATATAGTACATGTTCTATACCAAAGATCAAAATGTACAACTTTTATTTTATCCATAGTCATAAAAAAGAGATTAGAAAATAAAAATTTGTTTGTCATCTTTCATCATTACACTTAATCAGCTTCCATGAATACCTTGTTTTCTATCTGCAGAAGTCTCTTTTCTCTTATTTAGTCCCACAAAGTAGAATATTTTCGAAAAGCAAAACAGATGTACACATAAACGGAAAGCTAATCATGTAAGATAGTCATTTAGCATATTTCTGCTACTTGGAAAACCTAATATAACAGAATTTATGGTATTTACTGAATTTTAATTCTGAGAAAAAATGAATTGCTTTTGCACAATATGACAAAAAATATTAGTGTTTAAGTCAGTGTCTTGATGAAGACTTCTTAAACTATTATAAGCAATCTATCCTGAAATAGGACTGGCACTCTCTACAAGACTATATATGTCTAAAATCCTATAGGGGTAACTGTTTGGGTCATTGTATGGGTTGTATTATGAATGACAAAGAGTTATGTCTAAATCTTAACCCCTTATATCTGTTAATGTGATGTTATTTGAATAAAGGGTATATGTACAGATGTAACTAAATGAAAGATTTCAAGAGTAGACCATCTTGGATTAATCAGGTGGGTCCCAAATCCAAAGATAAGTGTCTTGTAGGCAGAAAAGAAGAGAAACCTACAAGGATGGCTAGGCCATGTGAAGAAAGTTGCAAAAATTAGAGTTATGCAGCTGTAAGCCAAGGAACACCAAAGATTGCCATACTCAACAGAAGCCTGTAGAGATTCATGGAACAAATTCTTTCTCAGAGCCTCCAGAAGAAGTCCACTCTGCCAACAACTTGACTTCAAGTTTGGTTTTCGAACAGTGAAAGAATACATTTATTTTATTCCATGCATCCAGTTTGTGTTGATTTAGTACATCAGGCATCAGAACTAATAGAGTTATAAAAACTGATAATTACATCAATCTAAAATGCTATCTTCACAGAAACTGAACATTAAAATAATAGAGAATAAAAAAACAAATAAGTACTACATAGCTAATGACAAGCTGCAGGAAAAAACACTATCTTTTTTTTTCATTAATACTACCACAATCACATTTATATAAATTGTTTGAATACTCTATTCTTACTTTAGTCGCCATTATCTTATACATATGTTTTCAGGTACTTAACATTTTATTTTATTCTATATTCTTCAGATTTTTAAGGTTCAATTATTAGAGCTAAGAAGGCAAATAGATATCACATACCTATTAGACTCAGAGCTGAATGAAGTAATTTATTCAAGTATAAAAATCCTTTGGTAGACACCTACATAAAAATATAACCAAATCATAAATAAAACATAAAGCATAAAAATTGAGCATAAGTGGCCAGGCATGGTGGCTGATGCCTGTAATCCCAGCACTTTGGGAGGCGGAGGTGGGCAGATCACCTGAGGTCAGGAGTTCAAGACCAGCCTGACCAACATCATGAAACCCCTTCTCTACTAAAAATACATAAATTAGCCAGAAGTGGTGGTGTGCGTCTGTAATCCCAGCTACTCGGGAGGCTGAGGCAAGGAGAATTGCTTGAACCCAGGAGGAGGAGGTTGCAGTGAGCTGAGATCGCACTATTGCACTCCGGCCTGGGTGACAAGAGTAAAACTCCATCTAAAAAAAAAAAAAATTTAGCCTAACATAAATAAAAAGGTAATAGCAGTCGAGCACATCATAACTGAAAAACATAATTGCTGAAAAACAGATAATGACAAAATCTTATTTTAAAAGTCATAGAAAAAATATACATTTTATGTAGACAAGAACAACAAAAATGACAGAATTGCAGCTCATTTGCAGAAGGCCCAAAGGATGCCAAAAAACAATGGAATGATATGCTAAACAGGTGAAAGAATAAACCAGAGCTGCCACTCTACAATTCTAAAGACAAAGTAAATACCTTTCAAATTTCAGTGAAAAGCAAAAAAATTTTTTAATGAAATAAGATCTTTTTTTTTAAACCAGTTTATTTGTCCCTGCAGCTAAAGACAGTTCTTAAAGCTGAGCAGAAATAATTCCAGATGGAAATTCATCTGTGCAGCAAAGAATCATAGAGATTTAAATATGTGGAAAATATGACTTTTTAATATATTTTCTTAAAATAAAAAAAAGAACTGACTAAAATTTTCATTTTGCCAAAATTTTGGCAGCTGCTCAAATCCAAATCATCCACCATGTCCTCCGAAAGTGTATGGATTGGTGGCAAGTAAAATACAATCTCATTAGTAGCATATCTTCAGCAAAACCAGAAGAAACAGAAGATTGGAAGCACAGAGTCCCCTGTAATTAGAATAATAAACAACTATTTTCTGTAGATATATTTTTGGTGGTCTCTTTTCAAGTCTTTAGAAGAGTAACTGGGTGCAGAAATTGTACAGAAATTAAAATGCAAAGTCTAAGTGTGAACTAGTCACTCAAGAAATAGCAAGTTTACCGCATTATAAAAATGCTGAAAAAATAAAAATTTAAATCAGAGCACTGACTACAGAAAAGAGAACAAAATTGTGGATGGGCCACAAGAAAGCAATTTGGAAAAGCAACTGTTAGGAGGAGAAGATGGTAGAAAAAAGAAGTGAAAAGGAAAAAGCTCTTTGGAATTGAAACAGTGAACAATAACAAAGCAAGAAGAAATAATTTAAGATCCTGAAAATTAAAAGGAAAAACAATCCCTAAAATTGTCATTTTTTCTTAGCATTTACTCAAAAGAGTTAAAAACACATGTCCACACAAAAACCTGCACATAGATGTTTATAGCATCTTTATTCATGGTTGCGAAAACTTAGAAGCAACCAAGATTTCCTTTGGTAGATGAATTGATAAACTGTATTACATCTAGACAATGGGATTAACCTTCAGTTTTAAAAGCAAAATGTACTATCAAGTAATTAAAAGACATGGAGAAAACAAATGCATATTACTAAGTGAAAGAAGCCAGTCTGAAAAACTTACATATTGCACAATTCCAATTATATGACATTAAAAGACAAAATTGTAAGACTGTATGTTACTATAATGATGGATACATGCCATTGTAAATATGCCCAAACTCACAGAATGTACACCACCGAGAGGGAACCCTAATATAAACTCTGGACTTTGGGTGACAATGAGATGTCAGTATTTACAAACGTACCACTTTGGTGAAAAATATTGATAATGAAGGAGTCTATACATGTGTAGAGGCAGGGAATATGTGGGAAATTGGTGTATCTTCTGCTCTATTTTGCTGTGAAGCTAAAACTGCCTTAGAAAGTCTGTTATTTAAAAAAATCTAAAAAGGCAAATAAAAATGAAAACGTCCCTCTATTGGCTCTAAGAAAATCTAGTCATCATAGAAATCTCACCCATTGCATCTCCAAAAGAAAAAGTAATATCAAAACCAAAGGCTGGTTCTTTGAAAACATCAGTAAAATTGTTAAGTCCTTATCTTAGCTAATTAAGAAATAAGAGAGAGAAGACACAGAGTACTTGATATCAGAAATGAAATAGGGGTTATCATTTCAATATACTATAGACATTAAAAGTATAATACGTTAATACCATAAACACATTTATGTCCTCAAATTTGATAATTTAGAAGAAAAGGAACTATCTTTGACAGAAATATACTACAAAACTCACACTAGGAGAAACTGATGATCTGAATATGCCTCTATCCACTAAAGACAATGAATCAATAATGAATAGCCTTTCAAAAAAGAAAGCTCTTGGCACAGATAAGTTCATTGGTGAATTTACTGGAGAATTGTACCAATCATTTAAGGAAGAAACAATTGAAGAAATCTCAGTCTCTTCCAGAAAGTAGAAGCATAGAAAGGACTAGCTCATTCTAAGAGGCCATTGTTATTCTAATACCACACACAATCATGACCTTACAAGAAAGGAAATTTACAGATGAATATTTTTCATTTAATAGATGCAAAAATGCTAAAAAAGAAAACTTAGAAAACCCAACAACAAGTAAAACAAGATATATACCATGACCAGTCTTTGAAAATCAATGGTTATAATCACCACATAAACTGTCTAGAGAGGAGAAATTATGTGAGCATATCAAGTGATGGAGAAAAAAAATATTTGAATAATCCAAGACTCATTCATGATTAAAACTCAGAATAGAAGAGAAATTTCTCAGCTTGATGAATGAGCATCTGCAAATAATATACAACTTAAATTATTCTTAATGGTGAGGAACTGGAAGTTTTCAGCATAAATGTGGAACAAAGAAAGGCTGTCCTCTTTCACTACCCCTATTCAATATTATACTAGAAGTCATAGACAGGGTAATAAAATAAGAAAAGGAAATAAATATATACAGATTGTATAGAAAGAAATGAAACTCTCTTTACTTGTTGATTACATGATTATAATGTAATAAATCCCAAAGACCAAACGAAATTTCCTGAATAAGCAAGTAGAGCAAAACAACTATACTCAGTTATAAAATAAATATTTCTAAGTCCATACTGGTATCAATAAATGGTTGAGCAAATAAATAAATGAGGACTAAAGACAACATTTCTGTGTAGAAATATTCAAAATAGTTTATATTGACAGCAGACACTCGAGATGGTGCTCAACTTGCCACATCTTTAGTTTGAACGTTATGTAGTTACTTTCTCCAATGAGCTACGTATGAACAGAAGAATCATACAGTAACATTACAATGAAGAAATCTGATAAGTACTATCTCACTCTGGTGATCAAGTCTACATCAACAGTGATAAATTATGTTAATAATACGCATCATTATTACTATGATGAAATTTCCACTTTACCTCTATGGTCTTCCTCCCCAAACCACATAGTCCCAGTCTAATTATGAGGAAAACAACAGAAAAATCTTTACTGAGAAATACCTGAGAAGTAATAATACAAAATACCTGCTTAGCACTTCTTAAAACAGTCAAAGTCATCACAAACAAAAAAACTCTGAGAAATTGTTCCAGCCAAAAGGAATGTTTGAAAGCCAGTCTAGGAAAGCATGAGAGCTAAATGTAATGTTTAATCCAGGATGAGATCCTAGAAAATAATTAGGCAAATCTGAAAAATGTAAGAACTTCATACATAATAATTAAACAGCATTGGTTTATCAATTGTCACAATTATACTAAGTAAAGTTAGATTTTAATAATAAGATTAACTAGGTGTGTGATACACGAAAACATTCTGAACTGTTGTCGCAATTTTTCTGAAAATCTGAGAATGTCCTAGAACAAAAATTTTCATTCAGAAAGTATTGGCCGGGCCCAGCGGCTCATGCCTGTAATCCCAGCACTTTGGGAGGCTGAGGTGGGTGGATCACGAGGTCAGGAATTCAAGACCAGCCTGGCCAAGATGGTGAAACCCCAACTCCACTAAAAAATAAAAAATAAAAAAAAATTAGGCCAGCATGGTGGCAGGCACCTGTAAACCCAGCTACTCAAGAGGCTGAGGCAGGAGAATTTCTTGAACCTGGGAGGTGGAGGTTGCAGTGAGCCGAGATGGCACCACTGCACTCCAGCCTGGACAACAGAGTGAGACAACGTCTCAAAAAAAAAAAAAGAAAGAAAGTAAATATTTAAGCTCTACGCTTATGAATTTTTCACTTTATGTAATATACAACAATACTTTTTTTAAAGTATGATATAGAAACAATTGTGTTATCTTTGTGCGTGAAATTCAAGTCCCTATTTATTTTTATTTAATTCAGCAATTCTGTGACTTCACTTGTTAATTGGACTTTTTGTACCACACGATTAAATGTTCATAGTCAGAAAAGTAATAATTCAAAATCTTGTAGATCTCTATGTCTGTAGGAGCTGTGGTATTCTTGTCCTTATTTCTTTGTGCAGGTATTAATAAGCTCACAGATAACTTCTTGTTGTTTTTTTCCGCATCTTTTGCCTCAGTCTTTCTAAATTCTCAACTTTTTCCTCACCTTTCCTTATATGTGACTTCTAATCATAAATTGTATGATATATAAATGAAATACAAAAAAACAATAAAAATCAGTGTGTTTTATAAATCTTATGAAGGATGGAAAAAGAATTCATTATCATTAATCACCTCTCTCAATTTTCCCCACTAGGCATACTTTTGATCAAATTCATTAAACAGCTGATAAATTCATTTTATTTTTATTATTTTCTCAACAAAAACAAAATAAGTTTTAGATAATATACCTGAAAAAAATATATAAATTTTTATAAACCCAAATAGGATATTATAACTTTTTCTTATTTTTTATTTTATATAGAACATCATCAGTTGGATTGAGCAAATGTGGAAAGAGATTATTTGTGCTATGAATTCATATCAAGATACATCATTTTGGATTGAAATGATCTGATAAAAATTTTATAAATATGGTTAAAATTAAAATTTGTTTTGAAGAGTTTTTTGCTGGGGAAACAGATTGTATTACATGTTGAGAACAAGAGAATGAACCATATACATAATCCCAAGTACTCTAAGCTGGTGTTTGATATAAACAAACAAATATTTATATTACAGTGGATAATAATTAAGATGGGAAAAGCAAAGGTGCTTTGGATATATAGGAATATGAGTGCTGAAGTCATATTTCAGTTGGTAGCATGACAATATATTTTCTGAAACAATATAAACTTATGCTGGGTCTTAAAGAATGAGTTGAAGTTAGCTAGAAAAAGGAGGAAAAAGCCTTCCAAGATAATTGAATCAAGGTCTGTAATCTGGATATGAGTTTAAGCTTCCATCAGGAAATCAAAGTAGATCTGTAGGTGGTAGAGTGAGGTGTGGGGGTTGTGGGTGGCGGGCGGGAGATAAATGCCAAACCACAAAGGCTATCAGATGCTATATTATGTAGGGTTTTGTAAACCAGGGTAAGGCATTTACCATGAGACTTATAAAGGACAATTAAAGTTTTTATCTGGAGAGAAGTCAAAGAGAGCCCTCAGAAGATTTCGCAGAAATCTAGGTTAAACAATGAAGATAGGCAATAAGAGAATAACGGCAAAGGGAAATGTAGGAAATTTACAGAGTTGAGAGAATATTACAGTCTAATTGGTAGTACTTAATGATTGATTAGATATGAGAATGAGGGAGAGAAATAGATTGAGTACGTCTCAATATAAACCCCCAGGTGTTTGCTTTCAATCACTAATCAGCTGATAACGTCATTTACTGAAATAAGAAAAAAAAAGGCAGAGGTGTGAGTTTTGAATGGCAAACCAAGTGCCCCATTGTGGACATGTTGTGTGTGACACGTGCATATTATACTAGTAAGTAGGTTATTGAATAATCAGGTCTCTTTTTTAAAAAAGAAAATACGGTGAAGATAGAATTTGGGAATCATTCTTCTAGTGATGATATGTGACAGCCCTGGAGTAACAAATATTGCCTATGACTATATGCAGAATAGAAAAAGTAGAAGCACACATTCAGTTTCTGTAGAAATCAACATTTTATTTGTTCAACAAGAAAGAGGACATGGATGAGGAGGCTGAAAAAGATCATGTAAGTGAGTGGAAGGAAAATTAGGAAAGTGTAGCACCTTATATTAAAGGCAAATGACAAAATACTTCACAGTAAAAATAGTGTGGTCATGATAAGCAATGCCAATATGTTAGGTGGTCAGGTAACATGAATATATTTAAAAGTGTCCCTCAAATTTAGTAAAATAATCTCACTATAAAGGATATGAGAATTTTTTGGTATTGGGGTTTAGTATAGAATTGAAGACAATTTAGATGTGAATAAAACGGAATTGAGTAAAGACAGTGGAATGCACAACTGTTTTAAGACAATGATCGGTATGACAGCATGTGGTAATTTGAGGAAACCACATAATAGATGAAAAGATTTCTTTACGGGAGGTGCATAACGTCAGCTTATATGCTGGTTTGGTATTAGAGAGGAAAATATTGGAAATAAATTAACAGGGGGCAAAGAATTTCCAGATAAGAGGCTGCGTGTCAATTTATTGGGACTTCTTTTCTGGTTAATTTACTTAACATTATATTGATTTAAACATCTGAACCAGAGCGTCTCAACCTCTGCCCTATTGACATTTTGGGCCACATTATTTATTGTAGGATGCTCTTCTGTGCATTATAGAATATCTAACACCATTCCTGACTTCTACCCCTAGATACCAATAGCATCAACTCCTCATTATGACAACCAAAAATATCTGCAGGTATTAGAAATATACCCTGAGTGGGAGCAAAGTCATCCCTATTTAGGAACCATTGATTTAAGTGAAAGATTATATTTAAAAACAGGAATTCTAACAATAATTTTTATCTTTAAAATGCAGTTCTGAATATGTATTACTTTTATTTTAATCAGTGTATAAATGGGAAAGGAAGACATACTCTCATATATGTTATTTGGTAACGTTTTAATACTTGCATTCTAATGAAGGAAAATATTTTTGAAAATTTACATAGTACTTTATAATACTCTCATTCTATTGAAGGAAAATATTTTTGAAAATTTACATAGTACTTTATTACAGCTTGCAACTCATTTTATAATATTTTGCAGTGTGGAAACTATGGTTATCCTCTGAGAAACCTAATTTGGGGGTTAGTGTTAAGGTTACATACAGTAGTTTTCCTTATTTGCAGTGTGTCTTTCCACAGTTTCAGTTACTCATGATCAATGATTGTCTGAAAATAGGTGAGTACAGTACAATAAGATACTTTGAGAGAGAAAAAAAGAGACCACATTCACATAACTTTTATTACAGTATATTGTTATAATTGTTCTATTTTATTGTTAGTTATTGTTAATCTCTTACTCTTCTAATTTGCAAATTAAACTTCATCATAGATATTTATATATAGGAACAAATATAGTAATGTAGATAGGGTTTAGTACTATTCACAAGTTTAGACATCTACTGGGGATCTCAAAATCTATCCGCTACCGATAAGAGTTAACTAGTGTTTTAGCTTTAGGAAAACAATTATGTAGGAAATGAGGCTCACCTTCTGGAATTTAATATCACCTAAATAAATGAGACTATCCAATGTACTTTGGAGGAGAAGAGATTATAATCCTTATAAACTAGTACTTTGAAAGAAATAAGAAATTCAGAGTGAGTAGGTATATGAACATTTGCAAGTGATATTTTTCACAAAATATTTACCATGAATTTTGTCAAATGCTGCATCAAAAAATAGATATACTATGATTGAAAGGTTTATTTTAGAAAACACACAACATAAAAAAATGCTTCATTCTTGGCTCATTAGTCTCTTTTTAGCAGATTTGTTTAAATGAGGAGTTCTTAATCAGTTGGTGGGTAATACATTCTTCTGGCAGTCTTCTAAAGCAGGGTAAACTCCTTCTTTGAGTGCCTGTAATTATTTTAAATCCATAAAAGAAAATGTAGAGGTTTCCCAAGAAAACCAAGTATACTAAAAGATAAATGTCAAAATGTTTAAACACGATTTGGTAATAGACGTCCTTCTTTCTAAATGCATTATAAACAGGATTTAGTGGCAAGTTTAATAATAACATAATTTCAAAGTCAGGATGAGCATATTTGCTATATTGACATATATAATATCTCATATGAAAATAACAGTGACTTCTATTACTCATAAGGCCAAAGGTTCTGCTACTACTGTAATTTTTCCCCTATATTCATAAGTGAAGGAAATACTACAATTCGGTTAGCGATTGGCCCTACCCCACTTGACACCACTGCTTATGCTCACTGTCCAGGAGTCGAGTCTGGAGATAGGTCTGCCTTAAATTCCACCACTGGTGCTTGCTCACATTATCTGAGGCATGAGGATGGCCTTGCCCTACCCAGTGCTACTGCCATGCACACTATCCGGAGGCCTGGAAATTGACCTGTCCTGCCCGCCACCACTGATGCACATGCATGCCATTCAGGAGCATAAGTATGGGCCCACTTTGTGTGCTGCTGGTGCCCACAAATACTTCCCAGGGCCCCACAAGCCAGCCAGCCCAATCTGCTACTGCCACTGCAGGCACCTACTCACTTGCACCATCTGGGAGCCTAGGTATTGGCCCACTCAGTCTACTGTCACCACCCCTGCTGCCTGCACAAGCCACTCAGGGACCCAAGGGTTAGTTTGCCACTGCTATTGCCACTGTCAATGCCACACATACAATCTGGCTTCTTGAAGCCTGCTCAACTGGCCTGCTTCTGCCACTGCCAGCACCCAGCACACTGTTGGAGACCCAGGGATTGGCCTACCAGATTTGCCACTACTGGTGCCTGAATACATCCCCTGAAGGCACAGAGCAAGCATGCCCAGCTTACTGTTTCCAGTACTGGTGCCCAACGTACAGCCTGCCTGGGATCCCCGTCCCCAGCAAAGCCTTGCCATAGACTCTACTACAACTATAGCCTAAGTCTCTAAAAATCTAACAAATGCCACTGACATTGATTATGGCCAAAGAGATTATACATAGATTACACTACTGTGCCCATCCAGACTCAAAGTCAAAGCAGTGTACCCAACCAACACTATAGATATCTCTACAGGAAAAAGTCTTTCCCTATGAATACCAATTCATAAGATTAGAAGAAGTAACTTTTATGCCAGATATATGATATCAATGTAAGGACACAAAAAACTGTAAAAAACAAGGAAATGTGACATGTCCAGTGAAACAAAATAATTATTCAGTAACAAATCCCAAAAAGGGAAATATATGAAATGCAAAATTCAAAATAATGTTATTTTATAAACTTCATGAGACACAAAACAACAAAAATAAATAATCCAAAGAAATGAGAAAAACAGTTCATGATATGAGTGAGAAGTTCAACAAAAAGGTAAATGTCACAAAACAACCTCAAAGTAAACAAAAGTCAATAAATAAAATAAAAATTCAATAAATAAATAGAATGAAAAATATAAACTTCCATAGACTAGATCAAGCAGAGTAACTTGAAGGCAGGCGTTTTGAAATAAGCAGTCAGTTAGAAGAAGAAGAAAGAAGAAAGAAAGAGAAGGAGAAGGAGGAGGAGGAGAAGAAGAAAGAGGAAGAAGAAGAAGAAGGAGGAGGAGGAGGAGAAGAAGAAGAAGAAGGAGGGAGAAGAGAAGAGAAGAGAAAAGAGAAGAAGGAGAAGGAAGGAGATGGAGAAGGAAAGAAAGAAAGGAAAATAATAAAGAAAGCTTCTGTGATATGTGGAACACAAGAAAGTGACCAAATTTTTGAATATGGGAGTTTCTGAAGAGGAAGAGATGGGTAAAGGCACAGATAGCCTATTTAACAAAATAATACCTGAAAAACTTCCAAGTTTTGCAAGATATGTAAACATCCACATACAGGAAGCTCAAAAATCCCCTCATTGATTCAACCCAAAAAGGTTTTCTCTAATGGATATTATAGTCAAATACAAAAGAATTCCCATCAGAGTAGCAGCATGTTTCTCAAAAGAAACCTGAGCGCCTAGAACAAAATAGAATAATTTATTTAAAGTACTGAAAGAAAAAAAAAATCTGCTGACAAAGAATACTATACACAACTATCTTTTCAAAATGAAGAAAAGTAAAGTCTTTCTCAGATAAGAAAAACTGAGGGAATTCATCTCCACTAGACCAGTCCTACAATAAATGCTTCAGGAAGTCTTACATCTAGAAGCCAAAGGAAGGTATGTATCATTAGGGAAATACATGAAAGTGTAAAACTTCCTGGTAGAGCAGATGCACAACTGAAAAAAAAAAGAAGTAAAATGTTATCATTACCAAAAAACTCCATCAAATTGTAAAGGTAAACAAAAGAGGAAGAAACAAACAAAGGATATGCAAAACAATTAAAAATTAATTAACAAAATAATAAGAGTGAGTCTTCGTCTATTAATCAACCTTAAATGTCACCAATTTAAATTCCTCAATTAAAAGATACAGAGTTGAAAAATGGGTAAAGAAAGACAAGAACCAAAAATATGCTGCTTCTAAGAAAACTCACTTCACCTGTAAAGACCCACACAGACTAAAAGGGAAGTATGGAAATGGAAACTGAAAGTGTGCAGGAATACCCCTACATAGACAAAATAGACTTTAAGTTAAAAAAAAAGTTTTTTTAAGACAAAGAAGGATATTATATAATGATAAAGGGATACATTTCACCAAAAGATATAACCACTGTAAATACATATGCACCTGACACAGAAGCACTCAGATATATATAGAGAAAGCAAATATTGTTAGTGCTAAAGAGAGAGATAGACCCTAATACGTTAATAGTTGGAGACTTCAGCACCCTACTTCAACATTACGCAGATCATCTAGACAGAAAGTCAACAAATAAACATGCAACTTACTCTTCACCATAGACCAAATGAACCTAACAGACATTTAAAAACATTTTATCCAACAGTTTCAGAATACATTCTGCTCATCCGCACACAGAACAAATAAATTATTTAAAAAATTATAATTGTGTCAAATATCTCCACAGACCAGAATGGAAGAAAACTAGAAATCAATGACAAGAGAAACTTTGCAAACGGTACAAATACATGAAAATGGATATGGTCCTGAAAGACCAAAGAGTCAATAAAAAATTTAAGAAGGAAATTTTTAAAACTTGGAAAAAAATTAAATAGAAATATAACATACTGAAACCTATGTGATATAGCAAAAGCAGGCACATTTATAGCAATATATGCCTACATCAAAAAAGTAGAAAGATTTCAAATAAACAACCTAACAAGATACCTTGAGATTTGTAACAATTAGAAAGCAAGAACAAACCAAAACCTAAATTAGTAGAAGAAAAGAAATAATAACTATTAGAGCAGAACTAAATGAAATGAAGACTAAAAGAAATACCAAAAAATGAACAAAACGAAAAGTTGTGGGTTTTTTTGAAAATATGAACAAATCAATAAACCACTAGCCAGACTAACCAAGCAATAAAGACAGAAAGCCCATAAAATAAAATCAGACATGAAAAGGAAGACATTACAAATGGTACCACAGAAATACATAGAATCTGTAAAGAAACTATTATATCTGTAGAGAGACTATTATATGCTAACAAATTGGAAAATCCAGAGAAAATAATCAAATTACTGGAAATACGTATCTTATCAAGATTAAACCAGAAATAGGAAAAATAAAATTCATCGGATCAATTAAAAGTGATGAGGTTAAATCAATAATAAAAAGTCTCCCAACAATGAAACAGTAAGACCTAGATGGCTTTACTGCTAAATTCTACCAAGCATATAAGAAAAATCTAACACAAATTCTTTGCAAAATACTCCAAAAAATTTGAAGTGGAAGAACTTTAACTCAATCTACAAGGACAGCCAGACCACGTGATTATCGCAATAGACAGAGAAAAAGCATATGCTAAAATTCAACATTGCTTCGTGATGAAAAACCTTTCTATAAATTTGGTAAAGAAGGGACATAACTCAAGATAATAAAAATTATATGTGACAAACCGACAGCCAACACCATTCTAAAATAATAAAAGCTAAAAGCCTTTTCTATAAGAACTGAAACAGACATGGATGTGCAGTCTCACCAATCTTAGTGAACATAGTAATGCAAATCCTAGCTAGAACTATCAGACAAGAGAAAGAAATTTAAAAGCATACAAATTATAAAAGAGGAAGCCAAATTGTTCCTTTTATTGATAATATAATCTTATGTCTAGGAAAACCTGAAGACTCCACCAAAATAAATCAGTATAGTTACAGGATACAAAATCAACATATATAAATCAATAGTGTTTCTATACACCAATAATGAACTAGCTGAAAAAAGAAATTAAAGGCTATCCAATTTACAATAGCTACAAAAAAGTAAAATGCCTAGGAATAAATTTAACTAAGGAGGTGAAAGTTCTTTGGAAGGAAAACAGCAAAACACTAATGAAAGAAATGAAAAGGATAAACATAAAAATAAAAAGCCATCCAATGTTTATGCATCAGAGGAATTAATATTGTTAAAATGACCGTATAGCCTAAAGTAGTCTACAGATTCAATGCAATTCCTTTCAAAATACCCTCAGTCAAAATGCTGTTGAAAGTATATAGTTGTGTTTCGTCCTTTAATCCATTCTGTTAATTTTCATAAAATTAGAAAAAAAAATCCTAAAATTTGTATAAAACCCAAAAAGATCCCAAATAAACAAAGCAACCCAGAGCAAAGAAAACAAAGCTAGAGGCATCAGACTACCTGACATCAAAATACACTGCAAGGCTGTAGTAACCAAAACAGCATGGTATTGGTATAAAACAGACACATAGACGAAGGGAACAGAATAAAGAGTTCAGAAATAAATCCACATATTTACAGCCAATTGATTTTTAACAAAGACTTCAAAAACATACACTGGGGAAAAGACACCTTCTTTAATAAATAGTGGTGGGAAAATTAAATATGCAGAAGAATGAAACTTGAATCCTATCTCTCCCAAAATACAATAATCAATTCAAGATGGATTAAAGATATAAAAGATTTAAATATAAGAGCCCAAACTATAAAACTAGTACAAAAAAAAAAACACCTAGGAAAACACTTCCAGACATCAGTTTAGGCAAAGATTTCATGGTTAAGACCTCAAAAGTACAGGGGACTATAATGAAATAGACATGGCACACTATACTAAACCAAAAAAGCTAAGAAAACAATTACCAGAGTGCAGAGACAACCAATTGAATGGGGGAAAATATTTGGAAACTACTCATCTCACAATGGACTGATATCCAGAACATACAATGAACTCAAACAACTCAATACAAAAACAAATAATTCCATTAAAAAGTGTGTTGACATGAATAGACCTTTTTTTTCAAAAGAAGACATACACGTGCCCAGTAGATATATGAAAAAAGTAGTCAACATATCAACATAATCATCAGGTATGGAAATCAAAACCACAATGAGACATTATCTTACCCCAGTTAGAATGACTATTACTAATTGAACAGACAAAAAAAATAACAGATGCTGGTGAGAATGTGTGGAAAAGAGAACTTTTATACACTCTTGGGGGGGATGTAAATTAGCACAACTACTATGGAAAACAGTATGGAGATTCCTCAAAAACTAAAATCAGAATTACCATATGATTCTGCAATCCGACTACTGGAGATTTATCCAAAAGAAAATTAATCTGTATATATAAGGGATACCTGCACTTACATGTTTACTGCAGCACTATTCACAATAGCAAAGATATAGGATCAACCTAAGTGCCAACTGACAATGGATAAAGAACATTTGGTGTATATATAATGGAATAGTATTTGGTCACACAAAAAAAATTGAAGTCATGTAATTTGTAGAATAAGATGGAACTGGAGGTCATTGTGTTGAGTATACTAAGCCAGAAACAGAAAATAAAACACTGCATGTTCTCACTCAAGTGTGAAAGCTCAAAACGTTGATCTCATGGAGACAGACAATAGAAATCATAGATAACAGAGACTGGGGAAAGTGGGTGAAGGCAAGGGGTGAAGGGGAGCTTGATTAGGGGGTACAAACATGCAGTTAGATAGAAAAAATAAACCCCAGCATTCAAAAGTGATGGACGTCCTAAATAGCCTGATTTGATCATTATAAAATGTATTCATGTATTCAAATATCATATAAATGTGTTCAATTATTATGCATCAATAAAAAAAGAATTTCTTTATTTACCCTGTTACTTTTTGGTAGATTTTATTCAATCTACTTTGTAAGGTCCTAATGTGCTACTCCTTATCTAAATAACATTGCTCAAATCTCACTAACAGACCTGTTTCTACCCTAGGTTTTCCATCTCAAAACAGCTCTACCGTTCATTTGATTGCTTAGCCCACAATCTTGAGGCATTCTCTTGGACCAGCCAAACTCTATGGCTCAATGATTTTTACCACAAGCATTACTTCTCTTCATTCATTGTCACCAGTTCTGGCAAAAACTGCTACTAGTTGTCCATCATGTCTTTTTACTTTTTTATAGCGATAGCATTTTGAAGTGGGTATATAAATATTCACAATGAAATTAGATTCTAGCATCCTCATAGTTTGACCTAAACATGTGATCAAGAGCTATGAAATAAGTTGTGGGAAAAACTGATGAGCTTCTAGACCATGCCTATCAAAGAAGACTTGTCCTCCCTTTTCCTATTTCTGTTTACTGCTTACTGGAAAGCGGATAATGATGATGGAGTCACCTTGAGCAATGCACGGAAAAGTAATATATTATCAAAAGAATAGGCAACAGGCATGGGGGCTCACGCCTGTAATTCCAGTACTTTGTGAGGCTGAGGAGGGCAGATCATGAGGTCAGGAGTTCGAGACCAGCCTGGCTAACATGGTGAAACCCCATCTCTACTAAAAATACAAAAGTTAGCCAGGCACAGTGGCGCATGCCTGTAATCCCAGCTACTCAGGAGGCTGAGGCAGGAGAACTGCTTGAACCCGGGAGACAGAGGTTGCAGTGAGCCAAGATTGTGCCATTGCACTCCAGCCTGGGCAACAGAGCAAGACTCTATCTCGGGGGGCGGGGGGGAAAGAAAAGAAAAAAAAGAATAGGCAAGAAGCATTTCATCCTTTTTAAATTTTTTTAAATTTTTTTTTTTTACTGTGCTGTCTTGACCCAGCTAGAACTTGGTCAGTTCTCCCTCTTGAGCACAGTCCTAACCACTTTCCTTATTGAGCTATCACACTCAGAGCCACTATACGTCCACTCTAATTGCCCCAGGGCCAAGTACTAGATAGCTAGGGATAGCCTTTATGTCCCAGAGATGGCCAAAATTATCCAAATTAGCCAATCACAGGGAGCCCTTGATACTTATCTAATCCCACGCCACTTGCCATAGACAACCTGTCCCCTGAGGCTCCAGCTTGCCATTCCCCTGTCCCCAGGTGTAGCACTCTGTGTAGCCCCACTTGGTAGTCTTCTATTTTTTGGAGTTGTAAAAAAAAAAAAAAAAAAAAAAAAAAAAAAAAAAAAAAAAAACTGCTTCTCTTCTATCCAAGAGTCATTGTGTTATTTCCCACCATGAAAAAAATATTCTTCAAATCTTATAAATCACTTTGCCACTGTGAAGCCACAATAACTTTCTTAGGCTATTTTATACTTTAACCATGATATGCATAAACTGTGGGCTTCTGTGATGTTTCAGTATGTCTGTGTTTTACTTTGGTTGGACAGAGATGAGGATATAAACTTCATATTGTTACAAATGATAGAAGTCCAGAATTAGTATAGCTTATCATTAACTAAAATATGGCCACACTTTGTATCAGAATGTGGTGAAATAAAGCATTCAGGTTAGATACACAGGTAGATAAGTAACTGGATGAATGAATGGAAAGTGAAAGGTAGAAAGAGATTACAGAATGTAGACAGAAACATAAATAACAGAGCAGATGTTCCCTTATTTCTAAACATTTACTTCACTGACTCTTCTCCATTCAAACCAAGCTAAATTCCAGAACAAAATAGCGTCACTGCAATCCACTACCGACAAATATTAGTGATATGTCATTGCCATTTTTGTCTCAGCCATCTAGTTGTTATTCTTTGGAGTGCTTGCTATGTTTTGCTCAGTTTTGAGAGATTTTACAAAAATTATTTACTTCGTCATTTCTAAAATGCAGATGCAGTGACAGGGATGAAAGCACTATTAAAAAGTCCATGACTATGATTGTATTGAAAGTAAAATAAATTCCACTGATGGAAAAATGATTAAATGTGCCCATGTGGATGAAACAAATTATTCAGTAGGAAGAATTCCGAAGGACACAGTATAAATAATACAGCATGTTGAAAGTGCTGTGAGTATGAAATTGACAGTGATGATTAAGAGAGGTATGTGATGAAAGAAAGACATAAAATAATAAAAAAAAATCATATAACTAGACATGAGGCCTAGATTTTCACAAAACAAAAAACACAACAATATCATTGATTGCCTATTAAAAATTGCAAAAAAGAAAAAAAGAATTGACATGAAAAATTTGCTCCAGATGGCTCTGAATTACAAACTTTGTGTAATCTGCACAATTTCTTTGTGCCTTGACGATAAATGAAAATATCACGAGATGTCCCAACAACATTTTAGGGATTATCAAAAAAGGATATTTTAAGGGAGAAAGATTACCTGCCTTAAAAACTATTCAGTGTGGATGAAATTGATGTAGTTTGAGAAGAGATGAGTGAAATAGATGAAAGGATAAAGAAAATATAATGTATATAAATAATGGAATATTCTTCAATCATAAATTGAAGGAAATCCTCCAAACTCTGGAGAACATTCTGCTAAGTGAGATAAACAAGAAACAGAAGGACAAATACTGTATGATATCATTTAAATGTGGAATCTAAAAAAGTTAAACTCATACAAGTAGGGAGTAGAATGGTGGTTTCAGTTATAAGATTAATTTAAGTTCTGAGGATTTAATGTAAAACTCTATTGTTTATTTGAAATTTGTTAAGAGAGCAGATTTTATATATACACACACACACACCACATGCACACACACAAATAGTAATTATAAGCAGTGATAGATGTACTAATTGACTGTAAAAACAGTACACAAATGTATAGGTACATGAAATGTATAGGTACATTGCACAACTTAAATATATGCAATTTTTCTCTGTCAATCAAATATTTTAAAATAAAAAAGAATGAATGTAACAAGGCATATATTAGATACTGTTAAAAGTCTTTATAGCGTTATTTTTGGACACCCAGGGTCCTTTCCTCTGTGTCTCTACCTCCAATAATATCTCAGCTGATAGATGGGAAGGAGAAGATTGTGCTTAGGAGGTTTTTGTTGGCCAAACCTAGAAATAGCCAAATTATTCAGATGTATATTTCAATGACCAGAACTCAGGTACAAGGCCACATCCTATTGCCAGGGAGGAAGAGAAATGTACTAAACTGAATGTCCAAGAGTAAAGGGAATCAAGTTTTTGTGAAACAACAATCTCCTCTAAATAGGCTCTAACCCTATATTTTTACTTTTGTTTGACGATAGAGTTATTTATAAGAATGTTTTTAATCTTCATTTTTATTCGGTTGTTTCATCACTTATTATTACTACATAGTTGGTCTTCTTAAATTATAATAAAAATGTTTTCTTTTTAACGTTTATAAGTTTGAGAACTCACTGAGGTCTTCTGTAAGCTATGATAATGATTAAATTTGATAAATGTTACAGTAATGTGTGGAAAGGAGATATTCTCAGTTTTACAGTTGAAAGTCCAATATATTAAATATGTTGATTTATTTTTATTTTTTCATTGTTGCATTTATTTACTTTTTCAAAGTCCAGATCTCACTGTCACCAAGGCTGGAGTGCAGTGGTGCAAATATACAGCTCACTTCAGCTTTCAACTCCTGGGCTCAAGTGATCCTTCCGCCTCAGCCTCCTGAGTAGTGGGGACTGCAGATGCATGCCACCACGCCCAGCTATTTTTTTTTTTAACCTTTTGTAGAGACAGGTTCTCATTTTCTTACCCAGGCTAGTCTCAAACTCTTGGCTTCAAGTAATACTCCTGCCTCAATCTCCCAAAGTGCTGGAATTACAGATGTGAGCCAACATGCTTGGAGTGTTGATTTTATCATTAAAATTCTTTTTTAAAACTTTATCTGTCAATGCTACTGCTGTCCTTTTATATTAAAATATTATAAAAATTTATTTATATTAATAGCAGATAGTCCATCATATATTATGATGTTATGTTACTGGATATATAATGCTCCTTTAATTCATTGTGGATTGTTTCAAATATTGCTCATGTAACAATATGAATTATTCATTTATTCTCACACTTAATTCAATGTGATTTTTCTATTGACTTTGCCACCATTTATCACTTTTTGTATTTGTTTAATACATTTCAATTAATATTTCATTTTTATTTTATATTTTTACTTTTAACAATTCTACACCAGCGTATGTTTGTATGCCTCACCTAAGTACCATATAAATTAAATGAAGCTCTATTGCTTGCCTTGCCTTTTTATAGGGCTATATTATTTGTCATCATTTATTGTTACTGTTTCTGTCTTAATTTACTACATTTCCATTTCATTTTGTTTATTTCAAGGTTTGTTAGTTATTTTCATATTTTAGTTTTACATTAATAAAAAGCTTACAGTTTGAATTTATCTGTACTTTAAAAATGATAATGGTTTTCTTCATTTTTATGTTTCTCATTTTCATATAGAAAAGCTAAATAGTTTGACTTCCTATATTATGAGAAATGTGGCATACTCTTTGGTCTATTTGTTCTCCAACATCCTATTCTTTAACTTTTTAGTCTTTATCAATTTATTTGAGTACACTGAGCCATTCTATGTATCACTTTTTAACAAGAAGTTTCCCTCAGATATGAAAACTACATTTTTTCCATATTTGCACCATTATTTTATACTTAAAATTGTCCACTAATGTATTTAAATTTACAGCACCAGCTTTCATTTTAAATTTTATTCCAGTATTTATTCCAAAATTTACATTTTAAGTTAACTGCTTTGATTTATTTCTATGTCAAGTAGACCAATTTGTATGATGGTATTTTGTTTTTACTGATGTATTAATTAATTTAATTTCCTCCAAACCCTTAGTAAACTGCTTAACAAAGGTCTCCATATAGCTGAGTAATGGGAAGGCCAGGATTTGAATCCAAGCCACCGAGTTCCAACGCTGTTCCCATCACTGCATTGCCGTGTTAACTGCCATTGTGCCCAAGTGGTTTTGTGGTCTTTCCCATGAACCATTAACAATTTTTATGTATTTAAAAAAGTTTGTTTACAAATATTCTTTCTCAACATCCTTTGGTTGTAGAGCTCATGTATAAAATACACTTGATTAAAAAAATTTGGAAAAGAACAGAAAACAAAATTTTCCTAGTTGGTTTTTAGGGGAAAAAACCAACTTCTTTGAGTGTAACTCTTCACTTTACATTCACATTCATTGACTGTTTTTCTATACAATTTAATAATTTGTAAAAAAAAAATTCTTTCTTTCCGGAGATGGGGTCTGGCTGTGTTGCCAAGGCTGGAGTGCAGTGTCTATTCAGAAACATGATCCCACTCTTGATCAGCACAGGAATTTTGACCTGCTCCACTTCACTCCTCCTTACGCCACTCCCAGGAGGTCACCATATTGATGCAAAACATAGTGAAAATACCAAATCGGCATTGAGCACTACAGCTCAGAACTCTTGGGATTACGGATTTTCCTGCCTCAGCCTCCCAAGTAGCTGGGACTGTAGGCGTGCCCCACTGTGCCCAGCTTTTTTCTTTAAACTTATCATTCTTAATGGTGAACTTGCATGTGTCAATGGTCCGTGTGGATGAACTGTCCCTTCCTTGTTCATCACTTGTCCTAGAGGCGCTCCAGCTTCCCCTCTTGGAAGGCCACTCTTTGGGGATCCTTATCTCTAGCAAGCAGTGCTGATTGTCTGATAATAGACTACCTCTCATCAGATTACCTGGTATTCTGGCTTACTTAGAAATGCAGATATGGTGAGTTCCGTGTTATTAAGTCAGATATAAAAGATTGCATTCCTGTTTCTCTGACCCCCAGCATGGACTACTTTCAAACAGACTTTCTGAGTCTGTAATTTTTGTTTTTTTTTTTTTTAAAAAAATAATTGTCCCAAAATTCAATGCTATTCTAATTTTTATAATTATTAAGATAGTTCTTGGTGGTTATGTGAATAGATGATAGAAAATGCCAAAATTTTGACTTGGAATATAGTCCCACAAATTTGGAATAGCTGCTTTTATTGATATATTTCCCTGGATGGTAGAGGTCCTGAATATTAGGGTTAAGCCAGAGACACAAAAACAGAGTTAACCCAATGCATACACAGTCGATCTTTCCTAACCATGGGTACCATATCCCTGGATTCAACCAACCAGGGATCAAAAATATCTGGAAAAAAACATTGCGACTGTACTGAGCATGTACAGACATTTTTTCTTGTCATTATTTCCTAAAAATGCAGTACAATAACTATTTACATACCACCAACATTGTCTTAATTATTATGAGTAATCTAGAGTTGATTCAAAGTATGCTGGTGGATATGAATAGGTTATATGCAAATACTATGCTATTTCCTATAAAGGGATCAACCATCTACAGATTTTGGTATCTTCGGAGGTGTCCTGGAATCAATTATCTCATCTATACCAAAGGACAACTCTGTGTGTGTGTGTGTATGTATGCAGCCCGTTGTACTATTTTTATTCTGAAAGCAAAGCTTATGACATGGCAATATGCTTCCTAATTAATCTCTATGAACAATTCAGGGCTGACTCTTGCCACCAACTCCCTCCAGATGGCTTACCTTCTATCCACACACACATCAAACATCAACCATTGTCAACTACCACTGTCCTTTCTGAATTTTTGTCTACCATTTTATTCC
Source organism: Homo sapiens (assembly GCF_000001405.40). Taxonomy (NCBI): domain Eukaryota; kingdom Metazoa; phylum Chordata; class Mammalia; order Primates; family Hominidae; genus Homo; species Homo sapiens. The sequence continues at coordinate 18,959,557 of NC_000005.10, forward strand.
TTTAGGTTTTGATACTCTTGAATTCTTTGTACTTTTTTTTTCTTTACCATTGCCACGGTAAAAAAAATTTAACAGAAAGTTAGTGATGTCACTTACATGGCTTGAGGCCCTGGAATGTTTTGCAGATTGCATGGCATTATTTTAGATTCAGTCTTGTGAGACAGTTTACGCTGACAGCTGCAGTTTCTGGCACAGTCCATTGAACTGATAACAGGAGCCACCTCTTTTCTATGGTTGAAAATTGAAGTTAATTCTAACTTGGGTGTTTTCCATTTAAATAACACATTTGCCCATGTATAGTGGTGGCAACAACTGATGTACGCTTAGACTAAAGCTGCATTATTTCCACAATATGTGAACAACATTTCTCGTATTCATTTCACATAACAGAACACACTTTAGTACATGAATCATGTCCACCATTTACTCCTAATGGACAATGTCAGCAATGTAGGCATCCAGATGAATGGATGCTCTCATGCTTTACCTTTTAGTTTACCATCCACATTTGGGAAATTATGTAAATTCTATAGAACATTATTCTGTTGATCTTCAAATTCCCCTTTAATTTTTAAAAATGTCTTTATTATTCTCTAGCACATACTTTTATCTGTAAATTTACTTATTTTATCACACAGTAGATATTATAAAGGATAAAGGTATAATACAATATTTCTGTGTTAGTTGCTTTAGAAGTAAATAGATTAAATGTTATTGCTGGTCATCAGTGATTCAGGCATGATTTTACTTGGCAATAGCAAGAAACTTTTAAACTAATGAGAAAGAGAAAATGAGAGAGAGAGAGAGAGAGCCTAAGTGTACAGTAGTTCTTCTGTGGGAGTTTAGGACGTAGCAGACCCAACTGAAAGGAATAGGAAGTTTATTCTTAGAGATGATCCTTAAATTTACTCCTGGTAGATGGATTGAATTTAGATATGTCAATTTCAAATAAGGAATTCTAAGCCGATGAAGACTTTATGGCAATAGAAATACTTTATTTTGTATATCTCACCTTTTGTTATCTATTTCCTTATTCATTGTATATCTCATTAGAGATACGTATCTAAAACAGACACAGAATTAAAGTTCCTAAAATAAATAAAATAATTTTGCATATGCTGTCTTTATGTAGTTTAAAAAACCTTTTTCTTTCATAGTGTTCCATGATTTTGTGTGCTCAGTAATCACCATATTGTTTTAGAACAGCCAAGTGAAACTCTCATAGCAAGTAGCCTTGAAAAATAAGTCATAATCAGTTGGTATATCCCAGATATTCAACTATTGCCCCTCTAGTCTATTTACTAATGAAGACTGATGTGTATTTTGTTGTTTTTGTTTTTGCTCTCTGTGTCATCTATAAAAAATAATGCATAGGCAAATATTTGAAAGTATCCTATGTCATTTTGTCAACAGTCCGGGCCTATCTCATAGTTGAAAGATAAATGTTAATAATGTTATGTAAAAGTTTCATAGTGATGATTTAAGGGTTAATGACAGTGAAGACTACAACCAATTATAATTAATTCCCAGAGTAATATAAAAACATCATTAAGTCACTCTTAAAAACGAGTCCTTGTAAATTCCATTGGAAGAAAAATGTTTATGATCACATCTTAGGGGAAAACAGACTGTCTCCATTGTAAGCAGTTCTGTGAAAATAAATTTGAAATATACACACTTTTTTTTTATTGGGACTTTTAATATCTTAACTGAATATTTCCGAAGCCACAAGTGTGTTAAACAAAAAAAAAAGAACTGAATGTATGGTCGAAGCCAGTCTAATCAAGGAAAACAGTGCTATGGCATATTTTGTTTTCACTGTAGAAAAATCCAAATGGGACTTTCCAATGACTGAAACTGAAATTGATTTTATAAGCACTAACATTTGTGGGTGTTTCACACATGCAAGTACAGAACATTCCTCTTGATGATGAACCAAAATGTATCAAGACAGACATAGACTGAAATTCACCACTCCTTACAATCGAGTTTATATCACCCATGGTTTGATTTGTCTCACATAGTTTATACATTCTTTTTCTTACCAAAACATGTAAGTTAAAACAATGATAGATATTTTTAAACTAATGAGGTTAAATAAATGCGCAAGTATGAGGTTAAATGCTTGAGCATTATTTAACCTTGAGAAGTATGTTACTGTCATTCAAAAATTTGTTTTCTACTCCACATGTTTGTGCTGCTTCCAAATTAAAATAAAAACCCCTGTAAAAATAACTATAAATTTAAGAAATTAAATGTTTTGTCTGGAAAAACATCACAAAACCACCTGATAAATTGAATCACACAGTGGAACCATTTTAAATGTTTTGTTTTTTAGTAAATTAAAAACAACAGTTGAAAAAAAAGTGTAGATACCATTTTTTGAGCATAACAATTGAAAATCTGACTTGAAAATTATCATTTGGATCTATGACCAGAAGCACCCATTTATTGAGCAAGTATATATTTATAAAACATTTTATGTGAGCAACTGTGCTGGAGATTCAAAGACACTATCCAAGTCCTCAAAGGTCTTATAAACTAAAATGCACATAATATTTCAACAGTTGACATAATTCTTGTCAATAACATATAAATAAGGTCAATCGCAATACAGGCATAAAATCTGCAACTTATAATGTGTATACACTTTGCATCTAGTAGTCAAAATTATTATAACCTTTCCTACAATTTAATGTATTCGATTACATTTCAAAAATATGATGGAACAACAACAACAAAGAACCCCAGCATAAGTAGCTTTTGTAAACAATAGTCTAATATTGACTAGAAAACATTATTGTCTTTTACATATGAAAATTCTGATAACATAGTATGTCTCTATTATATAATACAGACAATTCCAATTTGATTTTAGTTTTAGTGCTTTTCTTCAGAGAAGATGCTATTTGATGTATTAATCTGGGTTTTTCTGATGTTTTATACAAACAAAATCATTTTCTATTGGTAAAATTGCTTTTCCTTCTTAGTATATATAGATGAATATGAGTCATCAAATATGGAGCAGTAAAATTTAAATATTAAACTATGAAGCCAAAAAATGTGTTGCCCAAACTACTAATCCAAATATTGAATGTGTGTTGGAAATGTATTTCTCGCTTCAGAAGCCTAAGTAATGAACATTGGGCTTTAGAGAATAAACAGCATGGTAGTGAGAACCACATCATTAGAGTTATATGTTAGGACTAAAGAATAAGTCACCTAGTGGAGCCAAGATCAGTACCCATTAGGTGTCAGCTAGTCACCCATGGATCTGGGTCATTCATCTTTGTTTATTTTTAATATCTTATGTTATTGGCTTTCTAGTTGTATCCTTTTGGCTTTCTATTTATCTTCTTTCATTCCCTATATTTGCGTTATTAAGTTTTTGCCTCCATCTGGTAAAAAAAAAAATTATACATTTTCTTACAAGTACTTGATTTAGCCTATGGATTTTAATAGACATACTTAACATTCCAAATGAATAGGGATCATTATCCCTATTACACATGGAACATATCACCCAACTTAGAATACTTAAAATTAAATTTTGTCTTAATATATATTTGATTTTTGTTATGCATTTTATTTTTATTTTGCTTTTATATGTTGTTGTGTAATGCAATGTTTGTTTAGAATTTACCATGTATTTACTATCTTATTTGCCCATTATTAGTTCTGTATCTCAGAATTTTATACCCTGAAAAAAAAACACTTAAAATGTCTTTAAGTTCTATTTTTTTGGAAAAATTTGTCTATGTTTTCATTGCATGTACATAGAATTTATGCGGAAATCCAAAGGACTTAGGAGAACTAAGGCACATATAAATAATAAAGCAAACACTAGAAAACAATTCCTATTAGAGACAAGATAATAATTAATATGGTGCAAGAAAAGAAAAATAGATCAATACAACTAATGGAGAGCCAGGCAACAGATCCACAACAATAGTAACCTGTTTCTAACACAGGCACCATTCCAATTTAGTGAGAGAAAAGAAGGTCTTTTCAATAAACAGTTCTGGGTTATTTGGTGATCTATGTATTTTGCGATAGAATACATACCTAAATTTTAAAGATAAAATAATAAACCTTTTAGACAAAATGAGAGGAAAATATATTTATGAATTGGAATTAAATAATTTTTCAAGTCTTATTGCATTTGTTTTCTATTGATATTATTAAAAATTTTCATACATGTAAAGGCATAAAATAATCCAGATTTATAATCCCACAATTCTGGAGGTAAAATGTTCTAAAATCAATATGTGAGCAGGGTTGCATATTTTTTTGGATGCTTTAGGAAAGAATCTGCTTCCTTGCATTTTCCAATTTTTAGACAGCATTTGCATTCCTTCTACTTCTTCCATCTTCAAAGCCAACAGAAGAGAGTATTTAAATCTCTCTTTTTGTCTTTTTACTTCTTCTTATAAGGTCACTTATGATTACGTCGGACACACTGGTTAATCCAGGATGATCTCCCCATTTCAATATCCTTAATTTAATCATATCTGCAAATTCCATTTTGCTCTATATGGCAAGATATTCACAGATGTCCAGATATTTGAGATACTGAATTCTAGATATTCAAGATCAACGTCCATCGGAATGTAAAAAATAATAATAATAATAATTCCATCTTAACATCTCCAAATGTCTGAGCCCATTACAACATCAACTCAAAGTCCAATATTTCTTTTAATTTTTATCAACTCAAAAGCCTCTGTGAAATCTTATATTTGAATCAGGTAAGCGTAAGAATATGGTGTAATTGATACTGGAGAAAAATTCTGCTCCATCTTTACCCTGTGAAACTAGAAAATAAGTTAACTGCTCCCAAAATACAATGGTGGAACACACATAGCATACTAATTATAGACAATCTTCTTTCAAAAGAAACACAATAAGAGGGGAAAATGGTTACTTGTCAAACAATTTGGAAATCAAGCTAGGCCAAAATTTAAGTTTTAAGATTTAATAATACTTTTATGGGGTTATTAGTTCTATCCCCTGGCTTACGGTTCTACCCTTGGACTTAGTCTTTCATTTTCATGAAGAGTATTTTATGTTTTTATCTGAGTAATTTTATTTTCATGTGGAATTTGGCTAATCTTAAAGCTTTCTCTTATTTTTTTGTTTCTGTTTCTTTTAGTCCAAGCTGGTAGCATTTCTGCTGGTGTAACATTCACAAGAACCTTCTAGGTTTTCTGTATATGGCAGATGAATTCACATCATTTCACAATGTGACTTCTCCACTCATCTTTCCTGGATAATATCATGTCTGTTCTTGCCTTCTGTGTTGAGATGTCTAAGAAGATCCATGAATCACTTGTATCATCTGTTCAAAGAGACTTTTTGTGACTGGATACTCTAAACTTTTGCTTCTTCCAAGGCAATATCCAAAGATTGTCCAGCCACATTCTTGACTTTCTTTGCAGAGCACACTTTCCTGACGGTGAATATTGATATGCCTAACATTAGCATCTTTTACAATTTAGATAGACTGAGAATTTCTCAAATCAAAAGTAATGGCTACGTTTTGCTTCACAGTTCTTCCCTCAATTTATCCATTTTCTCCATAAACAATATTTTACTACAAGCAGCAAAAAGAAACCAGGCCACACTGGTTTTGCTTGGAAGCCTGCTCAGCTAAATCATCACTTGCAATTTCTCCCTATTACATAGCTGTTTGATATACCCAGACAGGTAAGATATCTTCCACTATACAATAAGGACCGCCTTTTATACAGTTTACAATAATATGTTCTTAATTTCTTTCTAAACTCACACCAGCAATTACTTAATTGTCCATATTTCTACCAATAGACTGTGTATGATGATGTAAGTATTCTCTAAGACATTGCAGGTTTTTTTCTACCAGGCTTTCCACTTCCTTCTGAGTTCTCACTAGCATAGTTATTTACACATACATATATTTATATATTTACATATATATAGTGTGTGTGTGTGTCTGTGTGTGTGACAGCAGATCTTGGCTCACTGCAACCTCTGCCTCAAGCGGGTTCAAGCGATTCTCCTGCTTCAGCTTCCCGAGTAGCTGGGACTAGAGGCATGCGCCACCATGCCCAGCTAATTTTTGTATTTGTAGTAGAGACGGGGTTTTGCCATGTTGGCCACGCTGATCTCAAACTCCTTACTTCAGGCAATCACATGCCTTGGCCTCCCAAAGTGCTGGGATTACAGGTGTGAACTACTGCGCCCAATATCCGTATTTTTACAAGCAATTTGTTCAAGGCTCTTTCTATCATGCTCCTTGAAATATCCTGTGCTTCTACCCTTTACCCAATCCTAAAGCCAATTTCAAATTTTTATTTGTTATAGCAGCATCACATTTTCAAGTACTACAATTTTTACCAGTCTCTAATTACTGCTTAGAAAAATAGTACAAATTTAGTGGTCTAAACCAACAAATTTATTATTTTACAGTTCTAGAGGTCAGAAATCCTCTACTCTGTGTCAGGGAGGGCTGCGTTCCTTCTGGAGGTGAAAGTCGACAAACAGCTGCCTTTCATTTTTCAGTTTCTAGGGGTTGCCTGCAGCCTTGCCTTGCGGTCCTTTCTTCCATCTTCAAAGCCAGCAACCTAGCATCTTCATATGTTTCATTTGATTGTCAAGTCTTCTTTTCTGACTGTTACATCATGTCAGCCTCCATCACTATGAGAAAATACATTTCTGTTGTTTTAACTACTCAATCTATGGGGTTTTGTTATGGCAGCCTTAAAAAAATAATACACATTATTTGTAGTCATTTTGAAAGTAAAGACATGTTTTGAGCAACTTAGTGTGGAATTTATGTAAAATTGTGGAGCTTCCATTTTGAAAAAATATGTTTACTGCCTAAGCTTTATACTGTGATTGTGCTGAGAAAGAAAGAGATGGATACTCTACAGGATGATAGGGAGAGAAGGAAAAGCATTATTCATTGACCACCACATGGAAATGTGTGAAGATGTTCACTGGTACGGTTGTATAGTGTGGCACACTACCCGCTGCCACTGTTATATAAATAAATATAAATAAATAGATTAACATTTCCCATAGTAGACAGTAAGAAGGTGATGGCAGGGTCCATTGATTCGATATTCTAACTCTTCTTGGACTTACACAGTATATTCCTAATACAGTCACATTACACTTGGAAAAAAAGAAATAAATTTAATTATATTGAAATTTTAGGTTTTTTTTCCTGCCATAACAGTCAACAGAGAGTATGCCCATGACTGTTATAAACTAAAAAGATATAAAACGTCTATCGCTGACTCCATTTTCCACAGAGTGATCCAAATTAGACACCATGCAAAATAAATAAATTTTTAAAACCACAAACATGTATTCAATAAAAAAGTTACAAGAACAGCTGTTGATTGCCTGTCAATCAAATGGCAAGCAAGGAATGAGATGCAAGAAAGTAAAATCAAATTTAAGTGTTTGTTTCAGTTATATTTATATAAGATTAGTGTGAGTGATTGAAAAGTGACATTTCAAATTTCAGTTGATTAAATGCCCATAAATTAGCACATCAAACTTTATTTATTACAGTCTCAGAAATAAATTTTTAAAAATTTTCAGATTTTAACTGTGAGATTAGTTGCAAATGCTTGGTTTCATAGAAACATTTTAACCAGAGCCTGCATAATAAGAACCAATTAATATTATTTTTGTGTGTAAATGAATCTTCTTTAGACAAAAAAACCCTGAACATTTTATTTTGTATCCAATTTAGTAGCTATCTAGCTAATTCTATATCATTCTATATGGTTTTCGAACTCTTACAATTCATACAAAAAGCAACATATATAAATGTTTGTGCCCAGTATTTCTACATAAATCTGTGAAACCAAAAATATTTTTAAAATATCGAAGGTGAAGTGATTTTTTTCAATTTACAGAAAAACAGCTGTATATATACAGTCATGCATCACTTAACAGTGAGGATGCATTCTGAGAAGTGCATTATTAGGTGATTTTGTCATCATATAAACATCACAGAGGCTACATACAAAAACCTATATGATATAGCCTACTATACACCTGGGCTATGTGAGATAACCTACAGCTCCTAGGTTACAAACTTGTACAGTAGGTTACTGTACTCAATACTAGAGGCAGATATGAATTAATGGTATTTGTGGATCTGAACATAGCTAAATATAAAATAGTTATGGTAAAAATATGGTCTAAGAAATAAGAAATGGTGCACCTGTACAGGTCACTTACCATGAATTGAACTTGAAAGACCAGAAGGAAATTGCTCTGGGTGAGTCAGTGAGTGGGCAGTGAGTGAATCTGAAGGCCTAGGACATTACTGTACACTACTGTAGATTTTATTAACCCTGTATACTATGCTATAGTAAATTTATATTTTTTCTTTTTTCACAATAAATTAACTGTAGCTTATTGTATTTTTTGCTTTATAAGTTTTCTACTTTTTTAACCTTTTGAGTCTACGGCATAGCTTAAAACATAAATGTTGTACTCTTGTACAAAAATATTTTATTTATTTATAAACTTATTTAATAAGGTATTTTCTATTTAATTTTTTACTTTTGAAACTTTTTGATTAAAAATTAAGATGCAAACATACACATGAAACTACGTCTACACAAGGTCAGGATCATCAATATAACTGTCTTTCACCTCCACATCTTGTCCAAGTAGAAGGTTTTCAGGGCCAATAACATGTATGGAGCTGTCATCTCCCACGATAACAATGTCTTCTTTTGGAATACCGCCTAAAGGATCTGCCTGAGGCTGTTATACAGTTAGCTTTTTAAAAAAAAAAAAAAGTTGAAGGAGTACTCTAAAATATTAAAGATGTAATATAGTAAATACATAAGCCAGTAACATAGTTGTTTATTTTTAATATTGAGTATTATATACTGTACATAATTGTATGTACTATAAATTTTTTGTGTGTGTGTGTGATGGAGTCTCACTCTGTCACCCAGGCTGGCGTGCAGTGGCATGATCTTGGCTCACTGCAACCTCCATCTCCAGGGTTCAAGCAATTCTCTGCCTCAGCCTCCCAAGTAGCTGGGATTACAGGTGTGTACCACCACGCCCAGCTAGTTTTTTGTATTTTTAGTAGAGATGAGGTTTCACCATTTTGGCCAGGCTGATCTTGAACTCCTGACCTCATGATTCACCCATCTTGGCCTCACAAAGTGCTGGGATTACAGGCGTGAGCCACTGTGCCCAGTCTGTACTTTGTTTTTTTTTGAGATGGAGTCTTGCTCTGTTGCCCTGGCTGTAGTGCAGTGGTGCAACCTCAGCTCGTTGCAACCTCCACCTCCCGGGTTCAAGCAATTCTTCTGCCTCAGCCTCCCAAGTAGCTGGGTCTATAGGCGTGTGCCACCACACCCAGTTAAGTTTTGTATTTTTAGTAGAGACGGGGTTTCACCATGTTGGTCAGGCTGGTCCTCAACTCCTTACCTTGTGATCTGCCCACTTCGGCCTCCTAAATTGCTGGGATTACAGGCGTGAGTCACTGTGCCCGGCCTGTACTATACTTTTATGAAGCTGGCAGCACAGCACGTCTGTTTACAAAAGCATCACCACAAACATGTGAGTAATGAGTTGTGCTACAACATTGTGATGACTACCATGTTGTGATGGCTATCACCTTACTAGGCAGAAGGAATTTTTCTCCATTACATTCTTATGAGACCATCTTTGTATACATAGTCCATCACTGACCAAAACGTCTTTATGGGACAAATGACTGAACATACTTGTGTGTATACACAGACATATATACACACAGATAAGGGCATTGATGGTTTGTTTTGTAAACTTCTTATTAAAAATGAAGTAAGTCCATATTGTGACCCATGTAATAATTTTGCTTGCATCTTTTGCATAGATAGTTCCTAGATTAGAAATATTCAAAAGATCAATGTCCAATCACTGGGTTTTTCTGACCGATTGTGCTTCTTTTAAAATAACTGTTAAATATTCAGTAATTTTATAAAGTTCTAAGTCTTGAGGACCAAATATAATTCTAATAGCTGTTATCAGTTACAAAGTGGCCTCAGATATGTATGCTTCCCTTGTTCCAAAGTTACAGTCATTTTTTAACCCATCTCAGTTGTCAACCAAATACTTCTGATTAAGTACACATAATGAAACTTTTGCCTGAGTGCCAATTTGAAATACAATACAGAATAATAAGATAGCTCTATCTCACACATACACATATGAATACATATATACTATTCCATAGCATTTGCTTCAGAATGTCCTATTACTCTGATTTAAATACCTGTTTTATTTGGGGTTAGCCTAAAATTATTATTTGATAGGAGTAGTCTAAATGTATTGCATAGATTACTGCCATTATATAAAGGAAAAAGGAAACCAACCTGTCAGGTGTCATCATTATGTTAGTTAGTATAATGCTAGCTGCTGTAAAAAAAATCTCTACATTTAAGTGCCTTAATACAACAATTTAATCATTGCCTGCTTTCGATGCTACTAGGTTCTCTGGGTTTCAGCAAAGAGGGAAGATGGTGAATTCTGCTCTGGAAACTGCCATCTTTAGCACTTGACCTACAAGATGGTTTTATGCATGAACACTCAGCCGATCAAGCAGTGAGGTGAGGGCAGAGGGGGCAAGTCTACCTCTCATCAGTTTCCGCTTAGGCATGAAACACATCACTTCTGGCTAAATTTCATTACAGCAAACCAGTCATTTAGCTCCACCTCCGTGCAGGGCTGTGAGGAGGCGAAAGTAGGGGCTGGGAAAAAGTAGTTCCTAGATGATTAGCCATTTCTAAGCAAAGCAACATATATAATCTATGGAAAGGAGTCTGCAATTTTTGATAGTCAGATTATGCCATCATCTTCTCTCCTTTTGAAAATGATCCTAACATCCCTTTCTTTTTGTGCCTAGAACAGACTCAAGCTCGCTCAAAATCCTGTCCAGTGCCTTCATCGTGCACACGTTCTAGGCTCTCCAGACACATCTGTCAGTTTCTGAGGAGTTTTTCTGTGATCCAGTAAACTTTGAACTAAAACACATGTCCCACAAGAAGGCAAAAGGAGAAAGTGAAAATTTTGAATCAAAAAGAGAAACATGGCAGACATATAAACTTTTTCATCTACGAATCCATCTATGGATCACACAGTAAAACCCTCTCTCCTGAAGAGGAAAAAAGTCTTATTTATTTATTTAATTGACCCATACTAATTGTATATATTTATAATGTACAACAGCCTTTCCAAATATGTATACATTATGAATGGCTAAATCAAACTAACTAACCTATCCATTACCTCACACATTTATTTTCCTTATGGTAAGTACACGTAAATTCTACTTGTTAGCACTTGTTAAATATGCAATCTATTGTTAGTTCTTTTTTTAACATACACCCCAGAAAGGTAAATATATTGGTATTAACTATAATCACCACGATCTCTTAATTCTGCTAACTGGGAGAAACCCCACTATTCATTGTTGTTCATGGCTCCTGTATCCCAGCACGGACAACTTTCTTGTAGATTATTTCCCATAACCATATCTCAAGTGAGAATTACCAAGGTAAGCTTTCAGAGACTAATTTCTACTTACTCAATTTGAGGACCTGTACATTATTTAAATACTTCCACAGTAAATGATGATTTTAAGTAAGATATTTCACTGGCAATATGTAATTTATATGCATGGGGATCGTATTCATTTGTTTCTCATCTGTTTCGTGTGTCTTTAACCATATCCAAATATATTTCTTTAATATAATAATTAGAACTGATGTATTTGCCACCTTGCTCCAATACCTTACATTCTTAAGTTAGTGAAAGCTAATTTGAAGCCTAAAAACAAAGCAAAACAAAAACTCAAAAAAAAAAAAAACCCCAAAAAAAAAACAAAAAAAGGTTGTATGGAAAAGCAGTAAACTTAGTTTCAACTTTGGACAGGGATAAATTCTTATAGATGACTGGGAATGCTCAATAGAACTTTATTGCTCAAAGGTGTTTTTAGAATCTTAGCTCAGACTGTTTGGGATCTACAAGGTTTGCCTTTTCAAACCTTTCAGTTTTCAAACTTTGAAATCTTTCTAGCTCATTTCAAGTCCACTCTTGAATCAAACAATTATTTCTTGAGTTTTCCTCTTTCTTCTATAGATATTTCAGTTGAAATGCAATATAATATATTTATGAAAAACTTTATGATTCCCAAAATTGAGTCAGATGAGAAATAAAATGCAGCATCAGGTCAATAGAAATGGATGTGGCTCTATAATCAAAGCAGTTACAATAATAATTTTAAAATTCCTTAACAAAAGCAAAGCAAATATGTATTTTAAAGTTGGAATGAAGACAGCTATTTACTTTGGTAAATGTAGAAGTTCATCTTAAAATTGTCAGTAAAGATAGTTTGATGGAAATGGGTCCAAGGAAGTAATGAGGTAGCAGAGTGTGACACAAAACACCAAGATCTCCAGTTCCCTGTGAGAAGTACTTTCAGTACAGACCAGATGCCAAACTGAGTGAAGAGGAAGAAAGAAGCCTGAAGGATTATCATGTACCACTTTGCATTTCTCTGTTGTATTCATCATTATTAATATACTGCGCAGCCGGTTGCTATCACTAAGTGGTTCAAAATATCAACACGCTATAAAATAAAAAAAAAATCCAGCATATTTCCTGCATTATATTAACATCACCCCCTATTCACCATGTGTATAGGAGAGAATTTGCATAAAATAAACACGTTTTAGCAGAACAGAATGCAAAAGCTTTCAGAATGCAGCAAGTAACAATCAGCATTCTACTAACATTGTGTTTCCAATGCTTCCCTAGCTACAGGCACTGTGAAAACTACATCTGTCTTCTGAATTATCGCAGGAAACAGTTCTACCAGTTGCACAACAAGGGTATTCATTTCCCAAGCCTTTGATAAATATGTCTTTGTCACCTGCTGTGTGTAGTGGTAAGCACTTCTGATAACAATTTCTATGTTAGGAAAAATAACACAGATAGCTATTACCAAGTCCAAATTTTCAGTGGATTAACATTTATACATGAATTTATTATTATTTTAAAAATTCAAAGTAAATGTTTTAGATTAATATGAGGGTAAATAATTTCTGCTTTTCAAATTTATGTAGGGAGCTAAGCTGAAGGATGCCCTGTCAGCTTAGTACATGATTTTCAAAGTTGACTTGGTATAAATATTCAGCTTCCAGAAGGACCAGACAAAACGCAAAGGAACATTTTTTAACCACTTCAGCCTCAAAGTGAACGTTCATCTTTTTCATTCAAGGAGTGGTCATATAATCCTATTCACACTGAAATGGGGCTAGGAGGTGCAGTCTCTTGCAAGACAGCTACTTCCCAAACCACATTTATATACAATGAAGCAAGGTAAACCATTCCTCTTGTGTCTTTTTTTTTTAATCAAAATCAACTGACTCTCCTGCAATCGTCCTTGATACCTGCATTATTATCTCAGCACTACTCACAATAGGAGAGATATGGAATCAATCTAAGTGTCCACCAATGAAGAACTGGAATTTTAAAAATGTGGTATATGTGTACACCATGGAAAGCTATTCAGCAATAAAAAGAATGAAATCATACTTTTTGCAGCAACATGGACAAACTGGAGTTCATTATTTTAAGTGGAATAACTGAAAAACAGAAAGTCAAATACTAGATATTCTCACTTATAAGTAGGAGCTAAATCATATGTACACATGAAAATAGGAAGTGGAATAATAGACATTGGAGACTCAGAAAGGTAGGATGGTGGGAGAGAGGTCAGGGATGACCAATCACCTATTGGATACAATGTACACCATTTGAGTGATGGTTACACTAAAAGCACAGATGTCACTATGTAATACAGCCATGTAAAAAAAACTGTGCTTGTACCCCCAAATCTATAAAAATAAAAATAAAAATAAACATGCAGAAAACTCTATAAAATTTAACATCTATTTATGCTAAAATCTGCCAGCAACATAGAAATAGAGATAGAAGAAAGATTCATTAATCAAATAAGTGGTATCTATTCACAATCTACACCTAACAATTGGGTCCCAGCACACTGGAACAATTAGATGTCCATATGTAAAAATATGCACTGCAACACATGAGTCACATCTTATTAACATTAACTAGAAATGGATAACATAATTAAATATAAAATGTAAAGCTATAACAAAAATGTACAGGGCTAGGCGCAGTGGGTGACACCTGTAATTCCAGCACTTTGAGAGGCTGAGGCTGGAGGATCGTTTGAGGACAGGAATTTTGGACCAGCCTGGGCAAAATAGTGAGACCTCATCATTACTAAAAATTAAAAAGAAAAGCTGAGTGCAGTGGTGCACACCTGTAGTCTCAGCTTCTTCGGAGGTTGAGGTGAGAGGATTTCTTGAGCCCAGTTGTTCAAGGTTGCAGTGAACTATGACTGCACCACCACATCCCCACCTGGGCAAAAGGGGGAGACCCTGCCTGTCTCTAAAATATGTGTGTGTGTGTGTGTGTGAGAGAGAGATAGAGAGAGAGAGAGAGAACATCTGTGTGATCTTTGGTTTAACAGTTTTTGAAATACATTAAAAATATAATCCATAAATAAAGTGATAAATTGGAGGACTTCAACAAAAGTAAAACTTTTACTCTGAAGAAGACACTATTAAAAGAATAAAAAGACAAGATTTAGGAGAAATTATTTTTCCATTACATATCTGAAAAAGGACTTATATCCAAAATATACCAAGTACTCTTAAAACCCGACAATAAGAAAACAAGCAACCCAATTAAACAAATGAGCAAAAGACTTGAACAGAAAAAATTCTCAAAGAAGATATATGGATAATGAATAAACCGATAAAAAAGATGCTCAACATTATTTGCTATCTGGGAAATCCACATTAAAAGCATAGCAATCTACTCCTGCTCACCAGCCAGAGTGGCTAAAATACAGATAATTGACTATAAGCAATCCCAGTAAGGTTATGGAACAGGAACACTCATTCATTATGGATGCAAATTCAAAATACTATAGTCAGTTTAGAAGACAGTTTGGCATTTTCTTATAAAGAGAAATATAAATATACCATAGAAAACCGTAATCTCATTCGTAGTTATTTACCAAGTGAATTAAATACATATGCTTATGCCAAAATATGTACATGGATTTGTGAAACAGGTTCACTTATTACCAATTACAATAAGGAACTTCCACCGCATCGAGGATAGCAAAGTGCATCACCTGCTAACTACCAGAAAAAGGAGTCCATACATACACTTCAGCCCACTGCGTCTTTAGCTGTACTTTTACTATTTTCCTGAGTCTGGTGATACAGAATACTCACACACATCACAAGTTGCATAAAGCAGGATTATTACTTACAGATAAGCAGCAAGGGACAATGGAAGCCTAGGATTCATAACCAGC
This sequence comes from Homo sapiens, assembly GCF_000001405.40. Taxonomy (NCBI): domain Eukaryota; kingdom Metazoa; phylum Chordata; class Mammalia; order Primates; family Hominidae; genus Homo; species Homo sapiens. The sequence continues at coordinate 18,974,984 of NC_000005.10, forward strand.
CCGTCTCCTAAGGCTCAGAAAAGCTGGCCAGGGTGGATGGAATTTTGTTTGATCATGCCCCACTTGCACTGCAGCTGAGAAACCCCAAAACCAGTCCACTCTGGGTTTGATGCCCCAAGGGAAATGAGAATCTCTGGAATAAAGCATTGTAGAAGATTTTGCTCTAGGAGGGACAATAGCAATGCCTGGGCTGGCCTGAGCAGTTTGCTGTCTCAAGAAGTTGCATTTCCTAAGAATGAAAGAACCAAAGCCTAGGCTATTTTGGACAGGATTTTTTGTTTTGCTTTGTTTTGTTTTTTATTTCCTATCTCAGGATGTTGCCTTCTGCAATTTTTCTGAGTACTACGGGCAAAAAAAGGGGAAAAATCTGGGTCAGCAAAGGCCATCCAAGGACCATCCTGTGGGATGTTGAGAGCTTCTTTATTCATAATCACTAAAAACTAGAAGCAACCAGGATATCCTTCATCACAGAAATGAACAAACTGCAATATATCCATGCAATGGAATACTATGTATGTATAAATAGAAATTAATTAGTGATACACACAACAACATAGACGAATCTTTAATGTATTTTACTGAGGGAAAGAAGTCAGGACCAAAACGTTATGTATTGTATGATTCCATTCATAGTATATTCTGGAAAAGGCAAAACTCTACGAATGAAAAACAAATTTGTGGTTTTCAGTAGATGGGTATGGGGAATGGTTGACCACAAAGGATGAAAAAAACTTTTTAAGTTGGAGGAACTGTTATGCGGTGTTGGGATTGTGGATACATGACTGTGCATTTGTGAAAACCCATTGATTTGTACATAACAAAGAGGAAATTTTCATGTGTGCAAACCAAAAACGAAAACAGAATACCCAAACAAACCACAATCATGTACACAGAAACTCGACCAGAAGGTTGAGGGATAATACAAATTCTTTTATAAATGTATCAGATAAGAAGACTAAAGAGTGGAAGGTAAAAACTCATGTGTGAGGAAATGACCTATGTAACTATGGAAAATGCTGTTTTCGCTAGAAACCATAAGGCTAATGACAAACAAACTGAACATAAGTGCTGTACTCTAGTTGATATATATTTTTTTCTCATAGAGATACAGGTTACAAATTTTAAAACTTTGTTAAATTAATATAAGATTTAAACAAATAAATAAATGGATGGTAGATTGTGGGAGCCAGAATTCTTATTATCAGAAAAGAAGGTTATAATCAATAAGGGAAGGTTGGAATAAACCCCATCATACTGAATTTAAGTTGGAGGCATCCGTATGAGTTCACATTTAGCTTAGTAGTAGTATAATTAGACAGGTAAAAACACAATTTTATATATATATATATATATATGTATGTGTGTGTGTGTGTATATATATACATATATACATATATACATATATATACACATATATACATATATACATATATATATACGTATATACATATATATATACGTATATATATATAACAGTTTCCTATTGCTAACGTGGCAAACACCACAAACTTAGTAGCTTAAAACAACACAAACTTTTTGTCCTAAAGTCCTGAAAGATCAGAGGTTGTAAATTGGTTTTGTAGTGCTAAAACTAAGGTGTCATTAAGACTGTGTTCCTTCTGGAGGCATTGGAGTAGGATCGTCTTTCATTTTCTAGCTTCTAGAGTCTCCTTACGTTCCTTGGCACACGGTCTCTTTTTCATCTTCAAAGCCAGCAATGATAGCTGGAGTTTTTCTCACACTACATCACTCTGACACTGACTTTCTTGCTTCCCTCTCTCCCTTATGGGGATCCGTGTGATTATACAGGGCTCACCCGGATAATTCAGGTTAATCTCCTCATCTCACAATCAGGTAATCAGCAGCCCCAATTCTGTGTACAACCTTAATCCCTCCTAGACTTACAACATAACAAGTTCAAGACTCTGGCAGTTAGAATGTGGAAAATTTTGAGATATCATTTTTCTTTCTACTCTGTGTGTATACATGAGTTAATATATATTAATAAATTATTGTCTATAAGAAATGACATTCCAGTAGCAACAAACACACCACGTACCCAGATCTTGGTTTCTAAATATCTGAAAGACATGCAAAAGTTTTAGCTAAAATGATTTAAGCAAAAAAATAAATAACAGAGTAATCAATATAATCCAAAATATAAAATAAATATACAATAACCCATATCGAGAAAATAAAATATTGAATAGGTAAAGAAGAGAAAACTATTTTTTACAGAATATCCCAAATAAAATAGCCATATACAGACATTCTCCTCTACCAAGAGAGAAACATGATTTCCCCATACTTTCCTTGGGGTAAACTGGACTAAGTAACTCTAGGCCAAAGAACAGCCTGGATATAAGAAGGAAAACAGTAAATGTAAAGTGAAGGAACTTGCCAAACACTCTCTTAATCTAATGACCAAAGTTAAAATGACTGTTGATGCCATGTAGATATCAGGTAACTCCTGAAAAAATGTAATAAGAGAAGACTTCACCTCTGTGATACTCTTTTCTGAAACCTATAACCTACGTCTATTATTGAGGAATGAAAAATCATTTAAATACAAATTGAGGGATATCCTACAAAATACCTGACTTGTAATTTTTAAAAGTGACATTGTCATGAGAAACAAAGACAGAGATTCTTACAGACCAAGAAAATAAGGAGACATGACAACTAGTTGCAATATGGTATCCTTAATGGGTTTCAGGAACAGTAAAAAACAAAACCAAAAACAAAACCAAAAAAAGTTAAAAAACTAGTGAAATCTGAACACAATATGAAGTTTTGTTTTTAAAAAAATCTCATACTCTCTTGAATTTCTGTAAGCAAAAATGTGTGTTTGATATGAAAATTTCAATAATAGAATGATCTAGAGAAGATAGGAAAATATATAAATAATTTTTTAAAATTTGGAAGACAGGTAATAACTGGAGCTATAACAGACAATAGCAAATTTTTAGAGTCCATATAAAAATCAAGTGTAAGCAAAAACAAAAAGATGCATAAATTAATACATTAGAATAGAACATACAGAAAAGAAATCAAGCGTGTAAGATTTGATTGTCTTGGTTTGTTTTTTGCTGATGTAACAGAATACCTGAGACTGGGTAATATATAAGGACAGACATTCATTTTCTCATAGTTCTGGAATCTGGGAAGTCCAAGATCAAAATGCTGTCATCTGGCAAAGGCCTCATGAGAGTCCCCATGGCCTGCTTACCTCTTAAAGGTCCTCTTAATACTTATAATCAACTAAATTTCAACATGAGTTTTGGAGTGAATATTTAAACCATAGCAATTATTATAATTATAGTACTTGTCAAGAAGGAATGTATGCATTATTTATAAAAGTTTGAGAAAAAATGACTATTAACTTCAAAATTACTGGCTTGATTTATATCTCAATTAACATAACTATAGTATAAGTTGTTTCTAAAATCTAGAAAATAAAACCATGTGCAAGTTAAAATTTCTATTTAAAATTGCTAGCTAATTTGTGTTAAACCACTTCATAAACACTACTCTTAAGGGTAAGAATTGTGAAGTCCAAGGCTGACAGTTGAGAGCAAAAAATGACATATTCTTGTGAACTAAATATTGAAGTTAAAAATGAGAAACACTGTTATCAATCTAGAACAATATTTGCAATTGTTCTGTAAAACAGAGAAGGGTGAAATAACTGTATTATGAACAAAGCTGCCAAATCATTAAACACTTCTTTTTCCAGTGTGTCTAAAGATATGATAGACAATCTACTTGAGAAAAAACGAAAATGTCAAGCATTTAAAATGATTTCAGTCCTGTTTCTAATAAGCTTAATTCATTACAAAATAATATTGTCTGCAGATTGGCAGAAATCTAAAGAGTAATGCTGCTCCTTCACCGTTTAGGGTGGAATATATGAGGAAAGGTCATTCTCTTTTGTTGCTGTAGGAAATAATTGGTAGAAACATTTTTTTTTTCCTTTTTCTTCAGCTTTATTGAGGTATAATTGGCAAATAAACACTGTATTTATTTACGGTATGCAGCATGATATTTTGATAGACAGGTACATTGTGAAATGATTACCACAGTCGAGCTAATTAGCACATCCATTATCTCACATCATTACCTTTCTTTGTGAGAATGTGGAGATTTGATATCTTAGGAAACATCAAGAGTATAACACAATGCTGTTAACTATAGTAGTCCCTCTTTATCCACTGGCAATATGGTCCAAGACACTTGGTGCATGCTTGAAACCACGGAGAGTACTGAATCCTAACCATGCTAGGTTTTTTTCTTATATATGTATACCTGTGACAAAGTTTAATTTATAAATTAGGGAGACTATGACATTAAAAACAGTATAATCATAAAATAGAACAATTATATGCTATAATAAAAGTTATGTGAATGTAGTCTCTCTCTTTCAAAATCCTTTTTTGCACTGTACTCACCTATTTTCTGACTACAGTTGACTACAGGCGACTGAAACTGCAGACAGGAAAACCATGGATAAGAAGAGACTAATGTGTAGTCACCAGGCTGTACATTCAGTATCCAGAATTTATTCATCTTATAACTGAAATTTGGTACCCTTTGACCAGCATCTCCCCTTTTCCCAAGTCCTCCCCCACCTGTGATAAACACCCTTCTACTCTCTGTTGGTATGTGTTGAAATTTTTTACATTCCTCATATAAGGGAGATAATTCAGTATTTGTTTTTCTGTGTCTGGCTTATTTCACTTAGCTTAATGATCTCCACGTTCATCCGTGGTATCACGAATGGCAAGATTTCCTTCTTTCTGAAGGCTGAATAATATTCCATTGTATTGTGAAAAGACATAAAAGAGAAAGTAGAACTAATCAACCCAGGCCTGTTCTAAATCTCAGTTCTGGCCCAGGGATGTGCAGAGGTGCAAAGGCAGCTATGGTAGCTAGGATTGCATGCTGTAATCTCCCATAAATAGAAAGCTGTAACCTCAGGGTCTATAAGCAAAAGCTGACCCCTTGCCTATGTAATTGAAGTATGTTAAATATTTCATTGACAAGTACTGGTATTAACCTTGTTTATTGAATGTAGAACAAGGTAGAATGAAATCAATTATCCTCCCACCAGACTCTTAAGATGCCTACACAATTATTAATCTTTTCCTCCTACCCACTCAACCACATATTTGTTCTATGTATAAATATCACTGGACACTAATCAAATTTGCAAAAATGTAACATGTGCTTTGCTGCCCATCCTCTGTATTGTGTATTGTACTTATCCCTTTGCTAAAAAACAAAAACTATATAAGTATTGTGTTTCATGTAATCGACACAGGCTACTGTAATCTTGGCTTCCTGGGTGCGCATCCTCAAGCTCCATCTTAATAAACCTCATTAGGTTGAGATTCCTGTATCAGTCTCTCATTTAGATTGATGGTACATACATATCACATTTTCTTTATCCATTTTTCTGTCAACAGACACTTAGATTGTTTGTTTCCATACCTTGGCTATTGTGAATAACATGGCCGTGAACATGGGAATGCAGATATCTCTGTAAGACAGCAATTCTATATACTTTGGATATATAGCCAGAATGGGATTGCTGGATCATGTGGTAATTCTATTTTTAATTTTAATATGAACCTCCATACTGTTTTTCTTAATGACTATACCAATTTGCATTTCCACCAACAAGGTATAAGGGTTCTTTATTCTCATCTTCATTGATACTTGTTATCTTTTGACTTTTTTATAGTAGCATTACAGACTTTCTTAAATGGGAGGATGGGAGTAGGGTTAGGGTGAAAATAATTGCCTATAGGGTACAATGTTCACTATTTGAGTGATAAGTTCACTAGAAGCCCAAACATCACCATTATGCAAAATGTCCATGTAACAAACTTGGACATATACCCCCTAAATCTAAAATAAAAAAATAAAAATAAAGAAAGAAAATGTACAAGTAGATACAAAAACCTTTGAAAACATAAAATAATGAATGCATTTAACCTAGGAACTTAGATTAAGGAAATGATTGGAAAATTCTAGGCAAAAAACAAGTGTGTATGCAAATTATATTGGTTAGGCTAGGTTGTAATGAGAAAGTGGCTGAATACTATGCAGTCATTACGAGAATGGTTGATATGAATGAATGATTTGGTTCATTCACTTGCTCCATGTAGATTGCTTTTGTCCCAAAATTTTTGCTAACTCATTGTAACCTATAATATTCTTTTATAAAGCAGCAGTAATTGGAGTGAATGTTGATGACTGTACACTTCTTTCTTTTTTAACTTTTATTTTAGGTTTGGGGGTACATGTATATTTACATATGTAAATATGTGTCATGGTGGATTGTTGAACATATTATTTCATCACCCACGTCTTAAGTCCAGTACTCAATAGGTATCTTTTCTGCTCCTTTCCTTCCCACTACCCTCCATCCTCAAGTAGAGCCCAGTATCTGTTGCTTCCTTCGTGTTCTTATCATTTAGCTCCCACTTATAAGTGAAAACATGTGGTATTAGGTTTTATGTTCTTGCATTCATTTGCTAAGGATGATAGCCTCCAGCTCCATCCATGTTCCCACAAATGACATTATCTCATTGGTTTTTATGGCAGCATAATATTTCATGGGGTATATGCACCACATTTTATTTGTCCAATCGGTCATTGATGGGCATTTAGGTTGATGCCATGTCTTTGCTATTGTCAATAGTGCCGCAATCAACACCTGTGTGCATGTGTTTTTATGGTAGAATGCTTTATATTTTCTGAGTATATACCAGGTAATGAGATTGATGGGTTGAATGCAGTTCTGCTTTTAGCTCTTTTAGGAATCACCATACTTCTTTGCACAATGGTTGAACTAATTTACACTCCCACCAACAGTGTATAAGTGTTCCCCTTTCTCTTCAACATCACCAGCATCTGTTATTTTTGTGACTTTTAAATAATAGCCATTCTTACTGGTGTGAGATGGTATCTCATTATAGTTTTTATTTGTAATTCTCTAATGATCAGTGATACTGAGCTTTTTTTCGTAGGCTTGTTGGCCCGATGTATGTCTTCTTCTGAGAAGTGCTTGTTTATGTCCTTTGCTCACTTTTTAATGGGGTTGGCTTTCTCTTGTAAATTTAAGTTTCTTATATATGTTGAATGTTAGAACTTTATCAGATGCATAGTTTGCAAATATTTGCTCCTATTCTGTAGATTGTTTACTCTGTTGATAGTTTATTTTACTGTGCAGAAGCTCTTAAGTTTAATTAGATCCCACTTGTCAATTTTTGCTTTTGTTGTAATTGCTTATAGTGTCTTTGTCATGAAATTTTTGCCATTTCCTATGTCCAGGAAGGTTTTGCCTAGGTTGTCATCCAGGGTTTTTATAGTTTGGGGTTTTACATGTAATTCTTTAATCCATTGTGAATTGATTTTTGCGTCTGGTGTAAGGAAGTGGTCCACCTTTAATCTTCTGCATATAGTTAGACAGTTATCCCTGCAGCATTGCTTGAATAGGGAGTCTTTTCTCTATTGCTTCTTTACGTCATCTTTGTTGAAGGTCAGATGATTGTAGATGTGTGGCCTTATTTCTGGGCTCCCTATTTTTTCCATTTGTCTGTGAGCCTGTTACACAGGACTAGAAAAAACTATTTTAAAATTCATATGAAACCAACAATGAGACAAAATAGCCAAGACAATCGTAAGCAAAAAGAAAAAATCTGGAAACATCACATTACCTGACTTCAAACTATACTACAAGGTTACAGTAACCAAAACAGCATGGTACTGAGACATGTATACTTCTTTTGGTTAACAACATGTATTAATTCCCTACAGCTATCATGCATCTCAGAATTATTCCAGTCTCTCCCCATTGCCAATGTGAAAGCCATCTCCATATTTTTAAGTGTTTGTTATAGCAGCACTTCATTTCCTGTTGCCAAAAGCTATATGAAAGTCCGATGGCTGCTGTAAAAAATTATCACAGATTGGTGGCTTAAAAACACAGAAATCTATCCTTTCACATTTCCGGAGGCCAGACTGAAAAATCAAGGTATTGTAGGACTGTATTCTTTCTGGAGTATCTAAGGGAGAATCCATCTTTTGCCTCTTCTAGCTTCTGGTAGCTACCGGCCTTCCTGGGTTTATTGCCTTATCACTGCAATCTTTGCCTCTATCTTCACATCACTTTCCTTTATGTGTGTACCTGTACCAAAATTTCCTCTGTTTCTCTCTTGTTAGACTACACATGATTTCACTTAGGACCCATACTGATAACCCAGAATAAACAACTCAAGATTCTTAACTTATCTTTTCCCATTGGGAAGATAATATTAACTCTTCCCATATATGGTAATATTTATAAATTCTGATATTTAGGATGTCAATATACCTTTGAGGCCACTACCCAGCCTGCCGCCATGTGAATATGCTCATACAATCGTAAATGAAGACTAACGAATAGAATTTGCATTTTGAAATGAATCTATGATACTTTTTATGTACTTTTTCTCATATTACAAATAAATTTATGGTCATGAAGTATACTTTTTCAATAGGTTTTAATTGATGTACCAACATTAATGTTTTATTATCAATTTCAGGTACAAATGTTTAATTTTTGACTTTATTATGAAATTGAGTCATTTTCTTCTGCACTCTTTTAGGAACTGAAAACACTCATTACCAACTTTTCTGTCACCTCCAGCAGTAATTCTCTTCTCCTTTCCAAGGTATTGTTACTGCCTAAATGAACTTCCTGTATCTTTTCCATATCTGATGCTATTCTCAATGTAACAGTTTGTCACTTCCCAGAGGCACAGTGCAAGCAATTTATTTTCCTTTGAAATGTTCACTCTAAAAGAAGTCAAAACTTGTCACAAGTTGAAGGCAAAGGCAGAGGATGCTTTAAAAGTGTGAGGTGAGCCAGGGGGCAAGATGGTAGCTTAAAAGAGAACAGACTTTGAAGTCAGACAGACCATTAGCTGGGGACCCTTGGGCACTGCACAGAATTCTCATGAGTTTTAGTTTCCAACACTGTAAAATTGGTGTAATTATCTAGGCAATGCACATGGTTGTTATAAAGATGCTCCCATTCCACATAAATGTGTTAATATTGCTTATTTAACATTAGGGAGCAGAGGTATATAAATAGCCCAGCACAGGGCCTGGCATGAGAATGCTTTCTTTTTAAAGGTACTAGCTATTATTTTATTAATGCTGAGATAGCATATTCGTTATTGTATCTTCACAGGCTGCAGTAAAGTCTCCCAAATCTCAGGAACTTAGCAAAATAAAGGTAATCTCTTTTCCATGCTACAAGTCCAGTGTTATTTACTATCAAAAGAAGAAAAAGAAACAGTTTGACTTTTTGTGGTATGGAAGAGGTATTGCAAACCATTTCCATGAGAATTTTTTCTTTTAAGTAGAAGAATGAAGATCACGTCTCAAACTGCAGTGCTCTTTGATTTTTCTATAATCATATCCAAGGCAGGTTCACCGTGAAGTGTGCCTTAAAGGTATATAGCCTTCCTGTTAATGACATAAAGAAAAGATAGAGAGTAAGTGTATGTAGACTCTGGGTCCAGTCTACCTAGGATCAAATGTGACACAGGTGCTACAAGCTAGCTTTGAGGTAAAAGACCTCCATGAGGAGTCACTTTAGAAAGCTCTGCTTCGGTTGTCTCCACTGGCAACTGCAGTTGATGACGATAACGGCATCTATCAAGGTTGGTTGCTAGGAATAAAATGTTCTAATCCATGCGAGAACACTGAGAACAATGCTTCATATATAATATTGCAAAATCCACCCCTAGGGGATTGGAGAATGACAAGTAAATATGTAAAGTAAGATGTTGCTGATCCAGACCCAAGGTAAACAGAAGGCTTCTATCATTTTCTTCAACATCATTATAAAGAAAGATTACTATTGTGCCTTGGGGCAAGGTAATAATTTGATATGAATCACCAATAAAAGTTGAAAACTTCCCAGAGTTTCAGAAACCCTGAAAATTTATTACGAGGGCGAATGCCAGTTGAATTGATGCTCTAATTTGTTTTGTTTTTTTTTTACTATCAGGTTTTGTGTTATGTATAAATCCATTAGTTTATCATAAGTCTGCCCTGTTTGAATACAAACCTCATGAAGGCAAGGTTTTTGTCTTGTTTTCTTCTGTGTACCCATTGAGAAATGTAGAACTCTCCGCACATAATAATTCAGTCCAGACCTCTGCACTAAGAGATGACCAAATTCTAGCATGGCTTCTAGCAGCATAAATTCCTGTCCCTAGGATGACCCCAACCTCCCCACTAAAATGCCTGCCTGAGAAATGATCAGCACTGCCAGGAGAATAGATAGACTGCTTGTTATAGCCATAGACTTCTTGTTATGGCCAACATAGGAGATAGGCCCCTGACCTCCCTTAGAGCAATTACTAAAAATAGCTTACATTTATGAATACTTTCTCTGTCCCTTTGAGATATGTATGTATCACCTATAACTCAGAAGTGTCTTTTTTAAGGACGTGAAAGCCATTCCTTTGAAATGTAATTAATCATCAAGGAGGACGGGCCTCTGCATCCCAGTCTCTGTGGGACAATAGAACTCTTTCTTCTATAATAGCCAGCTAGCAGAAAAGCTGGCCTAATTGCGTTTACACTGACCAATCCTTTGTAAATTTTTACTTCCTGGCTCTGCTGGAGTCCCTACCCACCCGTTCCCTCATTCTTTCTTTAAAATTCCCAGTTACCTGCAAACATCAGAATGAGCACAGCTCTTTCCTCCACTGTTAGTAGTTAGTGAATAAAATCCGTTTTTACTGATTTAACTAATGTCCGGCTGTGTTTATCTTTGATACCAGCTCCTAGAATATGGTACCAACTCCTGACCTATATATGCTAATCAATATTTTTGGGTTAATGAATCAGTAAGTAAAAGAATCTTGTCACTTATTGATCTTTTATAGTAACAACTTTCTCTTAGATGTTCTGCCCAGAACAATTTGCTTGGCTTGTTAATTTCCGACAACTTGTTAGGCTGATTCTTGGGAATTCTAACTGTTTATTTTTCTAAAATGAAGGATGGCCACCAATGCCAATTACATTTCATGAAGATAGAAAGCCGATATACAGGTAATTCAATTTTGGTTAAATTTGGTTAAATATATATATATATATACACACACACACACACACACACACACACGTTTATTTGTAAAAATATACATTTAGAAATTTAACCAAATTATATATATATATATTCATTCTATATATACATGCCTGAATTTAATTTGTTTTTCCCCCAAAAGGAATATAAGTGGAGTAAATTCTGTTTCTCATTCAAATTAGGTTCACGTTGGGTACAATTCACATACAGTAAAATCAACTTATTTTAGGTGTGTACAGCTTTGAGACAGATATGAGGTTGTATAACCATCCCTGGCAACCACTGACATGATCTTAAAGTCTTGCCTTTTAGTACGTCACATCAGTGGGCCCAGACAGTGTAATATATCCATTACATTTTCATTTCAATGCTCTTTTTGAAATTGTGTGTGTGCGTGTGTGTACATATATATATATAGAAAGAGAGAGACAGGGAGAGAGAAACATATCAGGTGATGAAAATAGACATGTTACAAGTAGCTTTTCTGCTGTGATATTATCTTTTTGCATGTGTAGTCGATCATTTTGCCTTTGCTTCCCTTGACATATCCCCACAAATTTTGTGATTTAGCAATCTGGGACTAAAGTATTTAAGGTAGAGTCCTAAGTGTGACAAATCTAATGCATTTTTTTTGTTTTGTTCTTGACAAACAAAACAAAATAGAAAACCAAAGAAAGGACAACTGTGATCATCTCTCCCTCCCCCACCCCCAAACAAACTCCTTCCTGTGACTCTCTCTTTCAGTGTAAGCATTCTCCCAGTTCGCAGAAGGGTCTTTGTGACATTCCAACACTGATATTCCTCTCCCTCATTGTCAATCATTTGGCATTTATTAAATATTTGTTTACATATTGTTTCTTTTGAAAATATCTAAAGTTCAAAACAAAGGCTTCTGTTTATTGATTCTTTACACACAATTCACTTACTCTCTGAGACTCTAGAAATATAATACAATGTATTTTTTGGAATCTGCCCTTTCCTTCTTAGTGAGGTTGCTGTGCAATGCAAGTCAAATGATACAATGGGAAAGAAATCAAATTAGGAAGCATTATGCAATGATCAGGTGTCATTTTTATCTGCCACTGTTCTAACTCACCCTTGGTCTACCGAAAGTTCCTGACAGGTTAATTCCTCTAATCTTCTCATGCTCCAAATTCATTCCCTGTCCAGCTCTTAGTTTTATCTTTTTAAAACACAGTTCTAATCCTATTATTGCCCTGCTAAAAAGTTCTTGATGGATTCTCACCACTGACCTCACTAAACCCAGATTTCTTACCCTGCTGCTTAAAACCTACTGCAAGAGCATCCTAAAAAAATGTTCTTTGTTTTATCTTTCTATAACTTCCCTACAAACCCTTATGCCCTCATTACATTACATTTTGTGCTCTTGCCAGAACAGGCCCAAATTCACTTTTGCCTCACTTAGAAGGTCCTGACACATTTGCAGTGCAAAGTAAATATTAATTCCCTTTAGTTAATCAGGAAAATAAGTAGGCAGTATCAAATCCACAATTTTGAGACATTTTAGTGTTAAGAAAATAGTTAAATAATAATTATATAATACTACTTTTATTATCTTTATTTAGATAGTATCAAGTACATTAAGTCAGAGTAAAGTTAATTTTATTGTTTCCTGTACGCCAGTAATTAGTTCAGCAAATGGTTATTGTAACACAATCAATAGTTACAGTATTATAAATGCCATTATTTAATAAGGTAAATATAAATTTTTAATTATAAATTGAAAAACAATTCTCTGTGATGACGAATGTTTTAAAATTAATTTAAAATTTAAAGGAAGATTTGAAATTAGGCAAATCATGGAAATATTTTGTAACAGGTAAAAGATGAAGCCTGAATCATAAAATCCAGTTAAAGCAATAATGCTACAGAATTTGGTACAAAATATTCCTCTACAGTGATAACTTAAAAATGATTAAATGTAATGAATCTCTTTTTTATCTCATATGCACACTAGTGCATACATGAAAAGCACTTACACAAAAAGTTTTCAAACAGTACCAGACAATGTGCTGTGAGTTCATGAACTCTACCACAAAGTATTTTGCTAAGTCCTCAAACTATATCTCCTGATAACAGACATTAAAGTGATATGTGTAGTTCTTATATTGAGACCAGTCTAGTCATTATTCTTAAACTAAAGAACATATAGATGATGAACCAATTATAAATACTTTGAAAGAATAAAAAATGCCTATTTCTAATAAATGAGATATAATTTAGGAAGGATTATGCCTTCTCTGATTGCTTCCATAGATCTAGAAAAAATTATACATTCTGATAGGCAAGTGTGTTCATGTGATACAATAAAAGATTCTTATTCTCAATAATTTTACCCAGCAATTCTGAACATAAATTAAATACAAAGGGGCAAATGTCAATATATGTATAAGGTTAGTGCTTTTTGATTAAGATTTATGTTAAATCTCTGTTCATATGTTATTTGTTTTCTCTAAATTAGTTCACTATATGTTTTATTTCTATATCTAATAGATAAGTGATACATACCTATATATGTTTATATGGATATGAATAATATATGCATATATATGAGTATATATATATTCATACATAATTTCACAGTAGTTGTTGGTACTTTAGTATCTTTGATTTGGTTAGACTACTAAAGACCAAAGAAACAAATCTAAAACAATGTACAATAAAACATGTCTGCATTTCCCTTTATTACGTCCTCACAGTGTGTTTACTCAGAGACAGCATGCCAATTCACTAGTCAACAAAACAGATACTTAACGTTGTTAAGTTACACTGATGTCCATGGTGTATCACATAAGCAGTAAAGTGGTGCCTACATTATTGTGCCCTTTTAGTTCAATATTTCTGTGTTTAGATAGTTATATAAGGCATTGAAGGCTAGTGGTTAAGCTTGCAAAAGCTGGAATCTAATTTTCTAATTCCGGTATTGGTTCTAATACTTTTTAGATGTATGCTGACAAACAAGAATCTTAAACCTCTCTGCCTCCATTTTCTCATATATAAAATGTAGCTAAAAACAATCTCAAAGTATAGTATACAGTTTAAATGAATTAATATTTGTAACATACGTAGATCAGTGACTTAATCATAATAGACATATGGAATCATTTATAAAATAAAATAAAACCGCCAATTTTCTTTCTTGTGGTTTCATAAGAAACAGGGCAAAACTTTCCCCTCATGGCAGCCATACAAGTTTATGGGATTAATATTATTTTTTATCACTCTTCTGCTTGTCTTTCCTCTTGGGCCAGAATTTCATTTTCCTAATTGTTTTATTTACCAATAGAATATTTTATACATTTAGAGGTCAAGGCTTGTCTATATTTATTGTAATATGTAAAAGTTATTCTCACCCTTGCTCTGTCTCTCTTTCTCTCTGTGTGTGCATGTGCGTGTGTGTGTGTATGTATGTGAGTGTGTGTGTGTTATTTTTATACCTGAGCATCTCCAGTGTCACTCATTTGGTAGATATTTATTGATACCTTATTCAATATTTGCAATTACTGAAAAAGACATGGTCCATATAACCCGTGCTTTTAAGAAACTTACATTTTGGACATTTTAAAATATTTGATATGAAGACATAAAACCAAATACCATATCAAAAATTGCTGTATCAAATTGATCTTCTCACCATTACTATCTAATGTATTACATTATAGATTATGTTTTTTTAAGTAAGACACAATAATGTAGCATTGCCAATTATTTTCAAAGTGAATCATATAAAATTAGTATACAATTATTATAACTTCACAGAAAATAAATATAGGTTAATAAAAACAATAGGAGTAACGAATTAAAAATAAAGGGCAGTATTTCACAGAAAGGGTTGTAATTTACAAATAGAACTTTAAAAGCAATTTAAAAATAAAATTTTAAGTTTAAAAGTAATAAAACACAGTGTTAATTATGGTATTTGATTTATTCATCTACATTGAAATTGTCTTTGTTTTCTACATTTCTAGTTAAAAACGGCATATTAGAACTCCACAATGACAAAGAAAATGGAGATGCAAATCAGCAAATGAAAGACTTGGGGGAAGAAATACCCTACAAAACACCAAAATTTTCCTTAAGTTGAGGAAGGCAGAAAACAGAGAAGGAGGCAGAAAACAGAGAAGGAAGTAGAAAACAGAGAAGGCATGTGAAGCTTCAGATTCAGTGAAAGTGCAGGCTTATGTATCAATGACATAATTAATGCAAACAAGAAATCTAATGTAGTACCATTGAAATGCAAAAAACATAAATACAGGAAAAAAATAACAGCCACATTTTTCATTTGTCCCTAGCATTGAGGCGTTTTGTCCTGCCTGTTTTCACATAATGCAAAAAAAAAAAAAAAAAAAAAAAAAAAAACTTACAGTCGAGAAGCACCAAACTTGTATTCAAAACTAACATATCTGAGTTTAGTGCCTTTTTCTGATTGAATAAACAAGATGCATTAACATGAAATTGAATAAACTAGGTAAAACCAGTTAATAATTGGGAGAACTAAAACACATGAAACTTCAATTACTATATTTAGTATATATGAAGAAAGTCATACATACATCAGAATTAGATGCCTTGATATAAAAGTAATCTGAGGCTGAGCACAGTGGTTCATGTCTGTAATCCCAGCACTTTGGGAGGCTGAGGAAGGTGGATCACTTGAGGCCAGGAGTTTGAGGCCAGCCTGCCCAACATGGTGAAACTCTGTCTCTATTAAAAATACAAAAATTAGCCAGGCACAGTGGAGCATGCCTGTAATCCCAGCTACTGGGGAGGCTAAGACATGAGAATTCGTTTGAACCCAGGAGCTGGAAGTTGTAGTGAGCTGAGACTGTGCCATGCACTCCAGCCTAAGGAACACAGCAAAACTCTGTCTCAAAAATAAATAAATAAATAAATAAATAAATAAATAAAATAAAAAATAAAAATAAAAAAGTAATCTGAGAAAAATGAGACCTTGAAAATTAATTTGTTTGGTGTAATTTTAAAAAAACCCATTGTAAGCATCATCATATAATATTAAGGTCATTATCAAGACTGCAGAGACCACCTCTTCCATCACCAGCAATGAAAGGATGTGAACCAAAAATTAAGAATAAACATGGCAGCAGATGTTTCAATTGAAACACTGGATATTGAAAAACAATGTAATAATGTCTTCAAATTTTTGAAGAATGAATATTTTCCACTAGAATCAATAATCTAGAATATTAATTCAATATGAGTGGAATAAAGATATTTGCTTCCATGCACAGCTTCGAGCAACATTGTTCCCAGTGTCTTCTCATGAGAACTGAGTTTGCTCTAGCAAAATGAGAGAGTAGCTTCAGGAAGAGAAAGATTTTGGAATCAGTGGAGTCAGCCTGAGAAAACCAGTGAGAGAAGCAAGCCACACAGTGTCGTGGATAACCCTGGCTTTAATGAGCAGATTAACGAGCACAAATTAGAAGAGGATATTATCATCTGGAAAAGAAAGGGTGCTTGACAAAAAGAAAAAGCAAGGTAGAGGGAAACTTAGTAAACAAACCTTACGAGTCATAGATTTAAAAGTGTGAATTATATGAAGGACATTTTTGACAAAAGTATATTAAAAATGTATGCTTATAAAATATTTCAAGTGGAATCAAGTTTAGAGAATAAAGGTTGTGTTTAAAGTTAGGCATTTACTGTGTTATATGCTAAGCAGAGGACAATTCTAATATAAGCACATAAGCAAAACTATTTTTATCACAATAATATTTTGATCTCATGAAATAGGAGGAGGAAATGTAAGTAATGAGAATAATAACTAAAATATAGAGTGTTCACCTTACTCTATTTCGGGCTTTCATTACTTCTTAGCATTTGGAGACATTAGAATAATGCAGATAGATTATGACGGTGGTAGAGGAATGATTATTTGTAGTTTTAATAAGCTGTGACTGACCTTTAGGACATCAAATGCTATTATTTGTAAACTCTTACGGGCAAAAAACAAAAAAATAAAACATTTCTGGCATCAATGCCATTTTAAAAAAATGAGACATATTATGCATGCTTCTGGAATACATTACTTACAGAAGAGTCCTGAAGTGGATCACCCCAGTTCTTACAAATATTAGTCTCTAATAATGCAAAGTCAAGAATATTCTCATAATGGAATGAAGTGATTTGATGTTTAGTAAAATATTCACATTCACACATATTGAAATTCACAAAGCATATTGAGAAACAGGTAGGAATTCAGAGCTCTGTCCTCAAATATTTCTGCTTGTTTCAATACAACATGTTAAGCATATGTCAAATCCACAGTCTAGTGATAACTGTTGCTAAGCAATGCTCGCTTGGATTTGTTTCCATGTAATCATCTTACTTATTACAATATTCTAGTGCAAATAGAGATTGCTTAGAAGAAATTGTCTCTGTATGACTAAGGTTCTTAACAAGCACTTTCCTTCTCCCTTTTAAACTTCAAAATCTTTTGTACCTATGCCAGATAAAAAAAAAGGCTCCATCTCTTGGATGTCTTCATTATAATTGAATTGAAACTACCTACTAATTTTATTCATCATAACTTCTCTCATCACCATTTCTTTATCATCATGTTTTGACTAACAAGCACTGAAAAATGAGGAGTTGAATGAAAAGTAAAAATAAAGGATTATCAGATAATGATCTCAGTCAGAATAAAATAATGACAGCAAAATCAGTTGCATGTCATTACAATTCAAACATAGTTATTTGTTGACTTATGTATTAGTTTTATTATTATTATACTTTAAGTTCTGGGATACACGTGCGGAATGTGCAGGTTTGTTACATAGGTATACATGTACATTGGTGGTTTGCTGCACCAATCAACCCATCATCTACATTATGTATTTCTCCTAATGCTATCCCTCCCCTAGCTACCCACCCCGTGACAGGCCCCATTGTGTGATGTTTCCCTCCCTATGTCCATGTGTTCTCATTGTTCAACTCCCACATATGAGTGAGAACATGCGGTGTTTGGTTTCCTGTTCTTGTGTTAGTTTGCTGAGAATGATGGTTTCCAGCTTCATCCATGTCCCTGCAAAGGCCATAAACTCATACTATTTTATGGCTCCATAGTATTCCGTGGTGTATATGTGCCACATTTGCTTTATACAGTCTATCGCTGATGGGCATTTGGGTTGGTTCCAAGTCTTTGCTATTGTGAACAGTGCTTCAATAAACGTACGTGTGCATATGTCTTGATATTAGAATTATTTATAATCCTTTGGGTATATACCCAGTAATGGGATTGCTGAGTCAACTGGTATTTCTGGTTCTACATCCTTGAGGATTCACCACACTGTCTTCCATAATGGTTGAACTAATTTACACTCCCACCAACAGTGTAAAAGCATTCCTATTTCTCCAAAAGCAGTGGCAACAAAAGCCGAAATTGACAAATGGGACCTATTTAAACTAAAGAGCTTCTGCACAGCAAAAGAAGCTATCATTAGAGTGAACAGGCAGCATACAGAACGGGAGAAAATTTTTGCAATCTATCCAGCTGACAAAGGGCTAATATCCAGAATCTCCAAGGAACTTAAACAAATTTACAAGAAGAAAACAAACAACCCCATCAAAAGGTGGGCTCAGGATATGAACAGACACTTCTCAAAAGAAGACATTTATGAGGCCAACAAATATATGACAAAAAGATCATCATCACTGGTCATTAGAGAAATGCAAATCCAAACCACAATGAGATACCACCTCACGCCAGTTAGAATGGCGACCACTAAAAAGACAGGAAACTTATGTATTAGTTTTATACTGCTTAACAATTTGCCACAAACGTAGCAACTTAAACAGCATACACTTCTTACCTAGGAATTGTGAGGAGTTAGGAATCCGGGTGGGAATTAAATGGACTGTCTGCTCAGGGTCTTACTGGGCAGAAATTAATTTGTTGGTGGAGTGTTTGGTCCCATCAGAGACACTGAGTCTTTTTTCAAGTTTATTTGATGTGTTTGCTGAATTTAGTTCCTTGCAGTTACAGGAAGAACATTCTATTTTCTTGTAGGATTTTGGTGAAGGTCTGTTCTCAGCTCCTAGAAATTAGCTTCGGATACTAGCCACAAGCCCCTCCTCAAACATAGCAGCAGCTTGCTTCTTCAAAGCTAACAAGAGAATCTCATTTGCTTCAAATATTTCCATCAAATCTGCTAAATTGGAAGCTCATATAATGTAACCTAATTAAAAGAGAGAAAATCCATCATATACAAGTGTTCTACCCACACTCAAGTGGAAGGGATTATACAGGGAGTGTGCATCAGGTGCAGGAGTCTTGAAAGTTCTATTAGTCAGGATTCCCTAGAGGGACAGAACTAATAGGACAGATGTATGTATGAAGGGGAGTTTATTAAGGAGTACTGACTCACACGATCACAAGGTGAAGTCCCACAATGGGCCGTCTGCAGGCTGAGGAGCAAGGAAGCCAGTCCAAGTCCCAAAACTTCAAAAGTAGGGAAGCCAACAGTACAGCCTTCATTCTGTGGCCAAAGGCCCAAGAGGCCCTGGCAAACCACTGGTGTGAAGTCCAAGTGTCCAAAAGCTGAAGAACTTGGAGTCTGATGTTCAAGGGCAGGAAGCAGTCAGTATGGGATAAGGATGAAGGCTGGAAGACTCAGCAAGTCAGCTCCTTCCACCTTCTTTTGCTTCCTTTATTCTAGCCATGCAGGCAGCTGATTACATGGTGCCCACCCAGATTCGGGGTGGGTCTGCCTCTCCCAGTCCACCAACTCAAATATTAATCTCCTTTGGCAACACCCTCACAGACACACCCAGGAACAATACTTTGCATCCCTAAATTCAACCAAGTTGACACTCACTGTTAACCATCACAGGAGTCATCTTAGAAGTTTGCCTACCACAATTCAACAAGCATCCCTGAGTATCAACAAGATTTCAGTAATTAAGAACTGTTTTAATACTCTATTAATTGCTTTAGCAATTCTCAAATCTGTTGCCTATTTGAATCAAATGTTAAGCTTCAAAATATAGCAATTCTTAGGCTCTATTCCAGCCAATCAAATTGGAATTGCTGTTAGTGTGGCCAGATCACAATATTCTTAATGTTTGTCAGGTTATTCTGATATGAAAGGAGGGTCAAACACTCCTTCCTTCAATAGAAAAAGCAGGTGAAGTTCTGTGTCTCATGAGTCTTTGTTTTGCTTCTATTGAATTTCTGCCTATGTGAAATTTAAAAGTGCCCTTATCTAAAACAAATAATTAATTTGATAGAAAATTATCACAATGCTCAGTATGTTTTAGAATGAAACATATATTTGTTAGAAAAATAGCCAAGGAATATTTGGTAGTACAAGCTAATGGAATAAAAAAATGAGAGCAAGAAACAATAAGAAAGAAAGAAAGGGGAAGTATGGGTGTGTGTAATACTGGGCACATCCAAACTAAGGTAAAAATCAGTGGAATTAAATGACTAATTGCTAGCTTTAACAGACAAGGACGGTAACATTTTGAGAGATATAACATATTGTTCTGATCTCACCAATAAAGGCTGGAGGGGTTTCAAACTAAGTGCTTTCCCGTTGCAAAGCCTATGGGTCATGCTGCTCAAAACAAGCCCTTTCTTAACCCCACATTACATGGGAAATTATTTTCTGGAGTTCCACAACACTTATATATGGTTTGATCTTTACGGCCTTATTTCTATCCATAGAAGAAATTTTATGGGGGAAAAAGAACTAATTTTATTTTTCTGCTTTTGACTTTATAGTATTAATGAAATTATATGTTTAGAGTGTGGATGTAAAACAGTCTGAGTTCATGAAAGGAAAGCAGAAGACATAAATTTTTAATACTTCAGAAAATACAGAATTTTATATTTTCAGAAAATATTACTTTTTATGTTTCAGAAAACACAGCATTTTATATTTCAGAACATATAACAGGGAAATGAAAGTAGCAATAAAATCATTGACAGGTTGATCTATAAATTCCAGGGGATGTTGTTGCAGAATTTTAAAATTCAAATCCTATACAAACTAAATAAAACGATAGATATGTATCTAGTATTTTTTTGCATATATAAAGATTATTCTCTGCCTTTAATTTAGCTGATTGATACTCAGACTTGAATATATATGTTTATTTTCTTCAAATGATCAGATCCTTAAATGTTGCTGTTTCAGAATAAAGGGTATGTAAGGACCTTGCAGCTTTGTGTTACCTGAATCTAAGATAAATTTCTGAAGTCACTTCCCAGTATGTCCTACCTTTTAGTTTCTGATGCTTGAGAATCTAATGCTGAGAAATTTGAAGGATGAGAAAGCTTCAATTCTGCAAATGGCTTCTGTTGATAATTAGAGTAAATTAATATGCATGCTTATTTTATGGATTACTAATAATATATGAGAAATGTCTAGCAAATATGTCTGAAACATAGAAGACATTTCATTTGTGAAAGCCATTTTAGTAACTGAAAATTTAATCTTTCTTAGGGTATTTTAAGACTTTTAATTTATTAAATTCAGTTGCCATATACTTTATGCATTATTTTCTAATAATTAAGGGGTAGTTGAAATTTGTATTTTTTTCAGTAAGTTTGAATGGGACTGGTAAATATAAAGAAGACATCAGAATAAAGTAAAATTTGCATTCATTCACGTGTTATTTTCCCAGTTCACTAATATTATACACCATTAAATAAAATCAAGTGGATACAGGGCATATTAAACAGGAAAATGCAGCAAGCATCAGTAGAAAACAGTAATGTGCACATCTATTTGTCTTCCATTCCTTCTATTATGCCCATGTTAGCCTTGAGCTTTATCTTGGAAGTGTTTATTGTATGAGGCTACGTAATCTTTGTGCACTTTGTGTTTTGGTTCCTCATAATTCAGCGATGTCAAGGAGTTTCACCTGTTCTTTAAAGGAAACGTCATTTATATAATATAATATTTATTTATTTATTAAGAAATTAACAGATATTTAGAAAATATTTTAATTAATTTTATTAGAGTTGTTTTGGTTAGTGCTCTGGTTACAAATTTGTATTTACTCTTCTGTGGTCTGCCTCTAGACTGAATCTCCCCCTAAACTTTCTTTTTAGAGTACATTCTGCAGAATGAAATATTTACAGAAGCATATACATTGCATTCTAGCAGAAAAAATTCTATTTACTTTTCTATTATATATTGGATAAGATTATTATCCATTAGAGAATGCATTATAACTTTATGATAAGCAAATAAGAATGAAAACTTGAACAATTAACATTTACATGCAAAATTATAATTTGGCAATTAATATATTTGACTTAATAAACATTTTTCAGATTCTGATTCATGTCAGACTCTAGTAAGTGCTAAGATTAAATTTTCAAAAATAATGAGTAGCTTTACTTCCTGCCTTTGTGAAATTTATATTCTAGCTGGGGAGACAATAGATAGAGACAAGAAGTAGCAAAACAGTATAATAATGAGATTTTAAGAATGACACAATATATGCTATGGGGCATAAGAGTGTGATGTTATGATTTCTGAATTTAAAATAATTTTTTAAAATTCATACTGGTTAGTTTCCTTAGGGAAGACATTTGTTAAATGATATTAAGTCGCTTGCAGATTTTCCAGGAAATTTAAATGAACCAAGTTTGGCAGCTGCACTGCCATGAATGTTGCCTAAATTGCATCTCAGGGCTTTTACAGTGGAGGGTCTTCAGTGACCTTTCTGAGTACTGATGTCATAGATCACATCACTTACAGTGGGCACTGAATATGACACTACTGCTACTATCTATCTTCATCAGAATATAATCAGTAATAAACATTTCTATATGATGCCACTTTCTGAATCGAAGTTCTATGAACATGTACCTAATTGAAGCATTTTATATCATATGCCTGAGCCATAGCTATGTGCTACCTAAAAAAAGAGGTTCTGCTTTCTACTTTTGAGAATCATATGATCTCATAAGTTGAAAACTTTCCTCTAAGAGAGAAAAATTGCATATAAATGTTGGCCAGCCAACTATTCTGAAAGCAGTCCAGTACTGTCCCCCTCTTAGACTGCCAACAGAACTCACCTAAACCGACACAAAGCAGTAACAATGACAATGAAGCCATAAAAACAACAAAGATAAAGTTCTCTTAATGGACTAAGCATTGTGTAATTCTGAAAAAACAGAAACGTATATGTAAAATCAAGTCAAGGAACTAATATCTTCAATAAACATCTCAGCATCCTTGTCTCATGGTGTAATACACTATTTTTCACCTTTGTATTGTCTTACTGACCTCCATGATGTCACTTTAGATCTTGTTTAATTTCTACTTTCGGTGGATACAAGAGTGAATGAAGTATCCTGGAAATTCTAGGTTTCACGTAAAGCCTACAGAACACACAATCATGACAATCATTATCATACATCTATCTAGTTAGCTTCATTAGGAAAAGCATTTGTTATATGATATTAAGTCACTTGCAGATTTTCCAGGAAATCCAAAAGAACCAAGTTGGCTGCTGCACAGCCACGAATGTTGCCTAAGTAACATGTTAGAGTGGAAAGCCCGTAGTGACTGAGGATAGACAGAGAGGGATTTATTTGTTCAGTGACCTAAGATGTTCAAATGTGAATCTGAACTTATTTGATGAAATGATTTGGTGTTCTCTTGGTGGAATTACTTCTTCTGAGGAAACTAAAACTTCAAATCTAGTAGAGACTAGAATGATAAAAATATAAGGTAAAAATTATATTTCATTAGATATAATATTTCAGGACACCATCCATATACTCTGATTATCAGAGAAACAGTAACATATTACTTCTTGATTTAGAACATGTGCCATATCATGTGGGATCTAACCTTAAATTTATAAGGTATCTAGTTCTTCCTGTTATGTAAAATGAGCTTCTGGTAGATGATATGGTATTTGCTAATATCAGCAAATCACAAGGAAATTACTTTTTTCCATACTTCTCTACCACAAAATAAATATTTTAGACAAAATCAATGGTATGCATGAAATGTGTAGTAAGTATATTTTGCTAAATTAATAAATGAGATTATAGACAGATGTGTGGTGAACAGAAAACACAAAATCGAATTGTAATACAATATAATTGGTGTTTGCTTTACCTACGATAAATGACAAGATGCAATTGAATCAACTGACCTCTATTAGCTATTGGTACACTGGATATGTGATACCATGGTAGTTTTCCTTGGGAGTCAGCAATATTGGAAACTCAGCAAGTCTAACCAGATTGGTATTACCGAAATAAAAATACTGTTGCTGAGTCCATGCCAACAAGGAAAATATCTATACATTTATTTCAAAAGCATTAGAGATAGGGAAAAAGAGTGCCTGACAGTAACAGCAAATTTTAGTGTCAACCTAAGTTTGAAAGACTTTATGTACAATAAGAAGCCTTGGTTCAACATTCACATTTGGTCAGTTATTATCAAATTTGATTTACCTTTGCCTTTTTTTCTGAAAAATGTCCTTCTAACTAATTCTCTAATAGCTTTTGTTAAAAATCTGAAACTGCTTACCAGACAGATTTTCCTATTAACTGGTGAATCTTAACCTCAGCTTATCTTTTCTTCCAGATAATGAGGACAGATAACTACATTTATCAATAAAAAATACAATTTCTCTCCCCTACTGTCTTCACTCCCCAGACACCAGCATAATTATTATGTCTAACAGATCTCTTCTGCCTATGTTAACAAACTGTGCAAAATCATCTTGTACTTATAACCAGATTTCTTTTTCAAAGTTTCTTTTCAGTTAAACAACCGTAGAGGTATGTCAAGGGAACTAAACAGGTGAGCTTTGGGAGCGGGGACATGCTGGGAGGAGTAAGTATATAAAAATTGTGAGCTACATGTTTATTTAACTTAATATTACCTTAGGGGACTGACTTTGCTTCATATTCATTACTTCAATTTAGCAATTAAATACTGCTAGTAATGCATTATTTTATAGCCTAATGAATAAGATAATACCAGGTTCATGAAAGGCAACTCCATTCAAATGGTTACCTTGTGTTCTATGTTGGTCATGCAGTTCATTCTGTGACTTAGTAATAAACTAAGATCCATTTCTCAAAAATAGTACAGCCACGTTCAGGGTCCTCCTCTATGAATTTTTAATTTGCTTATTTAGAATTTTCCATTATCAAAAGAGTTGATGAGAACAATTGGTATCAAGTGCCTATATGTCAAACAAAGAAGCGAAACCACTGGTAATTTCTAGAGAGTATACACAAATTAGTTCTATAAATCCTAGCTATGCATTACCTCTGGGAAATATGTTATAAAGTGAATAAGATTGGTGAGAAGAATTATATTTGGAGTGCTGTCCACTTTCCCTCCCTTCTATGTTCAGTGAGTAAATGTGGAACATCAACAGGGTGAATGCTGTAGCTACTTTAATCACACAGTTAGGAAATGGGAAATTAATCTTGACATAATCTTTGGTTTCCAATTGTCCCAACTTGTCACCTATTTAAGTTGAAAACTCTACTTTTAACTTGAACTCCATAAATCTACACCCTAAGCATTCAACTACTATGGTGTTTTGTGCTCCAGAAGTTTAGATTTAACTAATGGTCTTTCTGCAGTAATCTCCATTGTCTCTGGATATCTTCTTTCCTCAATGAATTGTTATTTTCAGGAATATCCTGAATGCATGTCATCTATTAAGAAGTTTGTGCTTAACTTTCATGTTTTGGGAAGATATTTCCTCAAAGATTCCCAGTGTATTCTTCGTTCAAGTGACTCTGAGTCTGATAATTGAATTGGGTCCAGAAAATGAGTGAGAGTTTTTGTAATTATCAGGGAAACTCAAAGCTGTTCTAGAGTTGTTTTCCTTGTTAAATAGACCAAGTGCTATTTTTGTATGTTGCTCACCTATTTCCAGACTAGGAACCTAATAGTATACTATTCACTAACAAAGATCCCAGCAGTGGTCAACCAAAATATCCCATGCTTACCTTGCCTCTGAAGGTTAACTGCTGTCAGTTGGCCTCAGCAACTCAAAAAACCCATATCCCTACTTAAATCAGAAAGCCTGTTTCAACTGCCACATATTTTCCCTGAAGAGAACAAACACGGTGGCACATTTCAATGATGCTGTCACTCTGCTCACCAATAAACTTGTCAATCTTAAGGTTAAAATAGCACCTCCTGTATCTAGTTAAGGGATATATTTAAGGATTAGGTTGCATTACTATTCTTTAAAACTTTAGATTCTTTCTTCTCTTCTCAGCAAGCAATTTCTGTCCTTCAAGTTCATTTGCAGGAGGCCACAGTTAAGTAGAGATTTTAGTTAGTCAACCAAGCAAACAATTTGAACATCTGTCTACCTATTGAATTACCAGGTTTTAATCACAATCTCTGGAAAGTACACTTGTCTTAGGTCAGATGCCCTAGAAGCAGAGCCTGAGATGGAGACTTATGTCTATTTGATTTATTAAAGGAGTGTTCTTAGGAGAAATTGATTAGGGAATGAGGTAAGGAACTGGAGAAAGAGGAAGAAGCTATAAAAATGTAGCTTTGAGTAAAATTTGGAATGATGTAATCAACTTGCAACAAGTGCCTTGTAGGTCTCTGCAAGTGTGTAGGTTATGGTGGGAGTCAGTTTCTTTATATTCTGCCGACAGTTTGGACATTTAGAAACAGCAGTTGGTGACAAGAAGCCCATGTGGGTGGGTATTGGCGTAGACTTGACCTCTGCCACCTGCCAACTTTAGTCAATGAGTTCACCATTGCACAAGCTGTGAGGTCACTGAGGAACAAGATTTATAAACCTTGAGGTTAATGTGTCTTGACAAAATAATTCTGTCCATTTGTTTTATTAGAAACTATTCTGCAGTGAATGCTTCCTGATACATGTTACTGTGCAGTAAAAAGACACCTACAATTTGTATATTGTTCCACAGACCTGTCTATGTATTTATTCCTCAAACATCTGTTTCCATGACTGTTAAATTTTGCTTCTTCAAGACACCAGACCAACCATTTGTAAATGCACAAATGTCAAGCTGTTTGTAAATGCACATACATCCATGTATGTCTTTAAACTAGGCCACTTTATCTCCAAATCAACTAGATAGCCAGTTGCAGTGCCAAAAGCTCTGTTCATTGGAGAGCAATCTATGCCTAGTGGCTTTTAAGTTCGTGTCTAAACATGTCTTTAGACCATTTCAATCTGCACTAACATACCAAGCCAATTCATCCCTGAATCAAGTCTAGTACATTATTCAACTCTCAGCTCACATAAGTAATATTTTCATTGTATTACTTATAATATTTTATAAATATGTCTATGAATATATATACAGCAGTGATGCTGGTACAACAGAGGGGATTGACATGAACATATGAACTACGTGTGTATGCAGTTTAGTTTACATATGACCAATACCAGATGTATGATCTTCATCTTACGATGGATGCTGCTATGTCTACTCAATAACCCAATTATGTAGTGAATTTGAAAGCAAACAGCTCATGATGGGCAGCTTGGGTGGCCAGGTCATTTGCAACTGATGGACAGGTACTCATTTATTACCAAGTCCCACTAACATGATAAGGGCTGCTTTTGAATGGTGTACAGTTTTCTGTTACAAATGGGAACAGAATCCTATAGCTTTGCATTAAAACTCTTCTTTTGAGCCTTGCTGGAGACTCCACATGAAATGTTCTTTCTCTCATAGATATTTCTAGTATTACTATGGTATACAATAGATCCTATGGACAAAGTGTCATTCTTCTTGTACTTGCCTTGAACCTGACTCAAAATGAGCAGACAGTCATATTACTCGATAAAAGGATCTAAGAGTACTCACAAGTGTAAATTATTCTGCCTCTAAACTGTGGGCACTGGCCACATATTGTGGTCATTTTTTAGTGGTAACATTGAATAGCTAGTACATTTTGAGAGAAGCTGTCCTGATATGCCCAGGAATACTGGACTGCTAAAATATTCACCAATATGGCAAACCTTTGAAACTTTGTGAGGGTTATCTATAATCTTCCAGAGTGCCTGTGTCTCACAAAAGTATGCAGAGGCTGGAGGTCTGATTAACTCACTGGAATCAATATAGTAGAGCAATGGTAAAAGTCTGCTCAATGTTCAGATTTCATGTTTTTGGTGGCTATATTGTGACAGAGAGATAGAGAAATAGCATAGCCTTGGGGCAACATGCAAATACATACTGCCATTCCAATCAAGTGATTGCAAACTCTTTTCTGCCCTCTCTTGAAGGAGAAGGGAAGAATGTCAGACCAAAAGCTGTGTACCATCTACCAAATGCTGTAGTAGTATCTTTCAGTAAGAAATGTCACATCTGGTACAACAGCTGAAATTGGAGCTGCTGTGTTCTTAAGTTTGCGGTCATCCACTGTCACCTTCAATGTTGCATCTACGTTTTTCAGGAGCCAGATAGGTGTACAAGGAGGACCACCAACCCTGAAGTCCTTGACTGTCAATTTTCCCTACCATTTCACCTGAGATTTGCCATCATTTCTTATTTACTCTGTCAACTCAGTCCCACAGGAGATAGCACCTGTTGACCATATCTTGTCACCTTGAACAACAGAATGTGCTCTGGGTTTCCTAAGGAACATTTTCATCTGGTAAGTTTGCAAGTCTCACATAGTAGGTAATTTCTAGCATTCTCAATTCTCTGAGCCTTATATTCCTTCTTCCGTCTTCCACTGTCACACACCTTACAGCTGTACTTTATTTAAGGTGGATTATGTTATTTGTGAAACTTCCAACTCCTACCCCCGCACTCTATCTGCACTGTTTCCTAAGGACTTTGCTGGACATCAAATGTATCCAATGTCATATCTCTCTTTCCCTTCCTTCCTTCCTTCCTTCCTTCCTTCCTTCCTTCCTTCCTTCCTTCCTTCCTTCCTCCCTCCCTCCCTCTCTCTTTCTTTTTCTTTCTCTTTCTTTCTTTCTCTTTTCTCTTTCTTTCTTCTTTCTTTCTTTTTTGTTTCTTCTTTCTTTCTTTCGATTTAGAGGGTACAAGTGCTGTTTCATTACATGAATATAGTGTATAGTACTGATGTCTGGACTTTTAGCGTAACCATCATCCAAATAGTGTACATTGCACCCATTAAGAGCTACTTAACCTGACAAACTGATACTGGCAGAAATGAAGAGAACATGCCTAGGAGTGGCTCCTGAGGAAGTCTGACTATGGAGGAAGGAGTATAAAGCTGGATGAGGTGAACTTGCTCGAAATGGAACAGTCTCTAGAAGGGAGTGCTACATTTTGAGAAAGTTTACCTTGAGTGCTCCACTTTGAGAAAGTTCATCTTTTCCAGCTTTATATTCCTCTCCTTTTAGTCCGGATTCCTCGAGATCCGCTACTAGGCACATTTTTTTTGTTTTTGCCAATATATGTTAGTCAGGCTCAGCAGCTCCTTCTGTATACATAATTTCATTCTACTCGTGACAGGCTCAGCTTCTCCCTAGTTAGATCTCTGGGAATTAAACTTGGCTGTTACTATAATTGGCAGGAGGAGAGAGGGTGCTGTCATGTGAGTCATTTGCATCATTTAAAGCCACCATGTAGTCTTCAAGCATGGGAGAAGGATACTGTCTTTTAATAAGAGGACAGAGTCATTTTTGCAAGTCCAGAGGCTTCAGAGTTCAAAGTTTTCCAGTGCACCTGCACCTACCCAGATCTCCCAATCTAGAGTCAAGGTACCACATCTTTCCTATAAGGACCCTGATGTTGGCATAGAAGGTTCATCTTTACTGAGCGTTTAGACTTCCCTGCTCCTGTGCTCCTGAGCTTGATATTCTGCCTTTGAGTGCCGCATTGAGGGTCACTTTAAACACTGCCAATGAGGACCTCTGACTTTAACACTTTGCTTTAAATTGATGATTAATTGAATGGAGCCTGTCCTTCTTTTCTCTCTAATGTATTAATGGTGATTTGCAACAATCATGTGATTCCGCAGTCTATAGTTATCATCTCCACTGTATCTGTTCAATACCAGAATTTTTCATAAGCCACTGTAGCCTTTGTGCCTGTATCCCCTCTCTGGTCACCACAGCTGAAAACCTTAGCAATTGTACTGCAACTGCATGCTTGAAATTATCAATACTCCTCCTTCCATGAGTAATGATATCCCAGTTGTCAGCCAACTGGAAGATGCTCCAGTTCTGGAATCTCATCGTGAGTGTCTCTTTCCTAGGACCTCTCCTAATAATGACTCTTTTAGGTTGGGTTTCTTAGAAGAATAACTTGAGTTGAGATTCATATACACGTTGATTTAATGAGAGAATACTTAATCAAGGAGCAAGTAAAGGGGTGAGGAAAGTGAAATAGGAAGGAAGAAAAGGTGAAAATAAGCAAGGATGGGATTTCAGTGAGATCTAGCTTCAGCCTCATCCTGCAGTGGGATCTAGAGTGAAAATAGCACCACATTTTTTTTTTTTTTTTGTGACAGAGTCTCGCTCTTTCGTCCAGGCTGGAGTGCAGTGGTGCGATCTGGGCTCACTGCAAGCTCCGCCTCCTGGGTTCATGCCATTCTCCTGCCTCAGCCTCCTGAGTAGCTGGGACTACAGGCGCCCACCACCACACCTGGCTAATTTTTTGTATTTTTATTCATTTATTTATTTATTTTTAGTAGAGATGGGGTTTCACCATGTTAGCCAGGACGGTCTCAATCTCCTGACCTCGTGATCCACCCGCCTCGGCCTCCCAAAGTGCTGGGATTACAGGTGTGAGCCACCACGCCCGGCCAGCACCACATTTTATTTCAACATGGGGGAATAATTTTTATACCCAGTCCATATTTAATTAATTTGTTAATTAACGATCAGAAATTGCAAGTCAGAGTAAGCTTTGGACGACATGACTTGTATTACCCAAGGGCAACCCTTCAGAGATATGTGCAGATTTTAGCTGTTATGTAGGCTGTCTGCTGCAGCACTAAAATCAATACATAGTCTGATATAAAATTATATTTTCCTTCCTAGTTAAGCTTATTTAAAATCCATAAACTTTACACAGGAATTACTTTTATATCTCAATAAATGTATATATTTTATGTGTACATATGCTATTAAAATATATGTATATATGTATATATATATCAGTATATGTATATATATACAGATAGATCATTGATAAGTGATAAGTGATTGGTGATCAATGCACAAGATGATAGAGAAATAGACATAGGCAAATAAGAAAATTTTGTAATTATTCAATTAACTAATAAGCTGTCTTTCCTTGGGTTTTACTTTGTAATTTGTTCGCTGAGGGTAAGTTTGGGCCTTACTGTTATAGAGCTAGAGAAAATGACACATTGGGGGGTGGCAAAACAAAAAGATTAGGATTCTCTTTGTAAATTAGCTGCCTCAGGTTAGATGGGTTCAGCAGGTTAAAGCAATGCAGAAATGGTTCTATCAAAAGTTAAAAGGATCAACACACAAAACTGCTTTGGCTGGCAAATATATTCAGAGGACTCTGAGGGTCTGAGTCCTTTAAATCTTTTGTGACCCCTTTAGAATGTTCAAGTCTCATTTTTACTGATAAGTGAAGTAAGTCTTACGTAGGAAACTGGATATATTGCAGTCTCTTCATTTCTATGATGAAGGATATCTTGGTTCCTCCTGGTTTCTAGTGATTATGAATAAAGAGGCCTTCAACATCCTGCAGGATGGTCCTTGGATGGCCTTTGCTGACCCAGATTATTCTCCTTCTTCTTGCCCATAGTTCCCAGAATAACTGCAGAAGGCAACATCCTGAGATAGAAAAGAATGGCCCAAAATAGTCCAGGCTTTGGTCTTGTCCCTCTTAGGAATGTAACACATTGAGATAGAGAAGAACTGCCCAGGCATTGTTCATGTCCTGCCTGACTGTGAATTAAATTGATCTAAATTGGCACCCAAAAAGAGCAAACTCTTCATGTGAATTTTGGCTGTATGAGCACCGTATCCCAAAAAGTTAAGATTCTTTTAGCAGAGAGATAGTTCCTTTGCCTTTGAGTGTGTTTTGAGCTGAAAATTCTCAACTTATTTTCCACTCTCTTTTCTTCACTTCTCTGGCACCGTTAGAAATAGCCAACCTAACTCTTCAGTTTCTGTATTCTTTGTGCCCCTGATAATATTACTTATGAGTTGCTATCTAGTTCTCAAAGCCTTGCGTTTATTTTGCACATCTTTCTAAATAACATATGTGATAATTTAACTGCTTACTTCTGTAGGAGATGGCTCCATCTTATTCCTTTCTGTAATAAAAGCATGCTTTTCATTATTTTCACACCGAAAGAGATCTAACAACCATTTCTCTAGTTCTCCATTCTCTTTTTTACTTTGAGCATCTTCTACCTAAAATGCTCTTGGTACTAAACTAGTAGTCACTGTTCCTTAGTGCAAACACTGGAAATAATCCTATAAAAATTGTGCAAAAATTATTTTTAAAGTGTTTATATTCACTAAATTTCTGGAAAGTCTTGAAACACACACACACACACACACACACACACACACACACGGATATATAAATCCAAAATTATACCATGGACTGTTCTGCTGGTGAAACATTTCTGCTGTTAGGGAGCATGAATATTAAAACTCCATTACAAATACTAGACTCTTAGATTCTTATATTGCTGTTAATGCTGAATCTGAAAGCTGAATATCTCTTCTGCTGACCTATCAGGGTGAAATCTCTAGGTGGCCTAATTTTTCAGTTCTACTAGCATCTAGATTAGGTAGATCTGATTGTCACGGTCATAAGGGAGGCTAAAAAATATAAAGTTTTAGTCCTAGTCTTGCAAAATTATGCATTCAAGATTTAGAAATTTCCCAAATATTTGGAAGGTGTTCAAAAATGCTCATTGGGCAGAGAGCATGCTAAATTGCATGAAAAATCTAGCGAACTTTTGGAAGAACCTGTATGTTCCTTAAGTGGCATATGAGGCAGTATTTATAAGGCAAAAGAAATAGTTATATGAGAAGAGACAAAATGAAAGTAAGTCAGAATAGCAGGAACACAGATGTATAAGGCTATAGCTATGGCAAGGGAAAATTAGGGAGGGTACCAAGGACAAGCAATAAGGCTGGTTAAGCAAGCAGCAACTTAGGTGATGCAAGACTTCATGAGCATCATTAAGGCAATAAACACTGAGCAATGGAAAATATCAAGAACTATGAGGTGTCTAAGATTTTTCTTTACCTGCAAACTGTCAAGTTTCATGAATTCCAGTTCTGTGGAAAAACACAAGATTTTCCTGACAGACATAAAGGATAGTTTAATATTCATAGCCATGACAATAAACAGTTATCTTGTTGGTCTGCTAAGACCAAATACCCACAGGACCATGTGAAAAGTAACAGATGACACCTGCCCCTGTAGTGTGTTAAACGACAGAGGAGAAACGCTGAGTTTAGTGGACCAACATGTTTTATCTTGGATACTAAGCTTATTTGCTTTTCCTCTGTAGCAAGACATTTCATTATTTTACCAGAAATAAGCATGTCTTCCCTTTGTTCCAAAAGGAGACATTATCTCTACATGCCAAGATTGTTCACTATAAAAATATTTTTGAAAAGATAGTGCGAAACCAAAGCCAGTCAGTTTGTCTACTTGAATGGTATGTAGACACGTGAGGGAGCCGGGGAGAACCATTAAATAATCCCAGTGTGAAGATACTTGATCTATAACTCCTCTTCTTCTCCTTCTTCATCCTTTTCTAAATATTCTGTGGAAAATAAAGAATGATGTAAGGGTTTGAGACCAGCCTGGCCAACATGGTGAAACTGTCTCTACTAAAAATACAAAAATTAGCTGAGCATGGTGGCGGGTGCCTGTAATCTCAGCTAGTCAGAAGGCTGAGGCAGGACAATTGCTTGAGCCCAGGAGACAGAGGTTACAGTGAGTGGAGACTGCGCCACTGTACTCCAGCCTGGGTGACAGAGTGAGACTCCATCTCACAATAAATAAATAAATATAAAATAAAATAAAAAGAATGATGCAAGAGTATCCTTGTTGAATAAAGTGAATGGGAGTTTGGGAGTTCTAGAGAACAAACTTCAAGAGAAGAGAAGAAGCAGTTGTATGTTGGGTTAAAAAAGAAGTAAAGAACTACATAGAAAGTATGAGAAAAATTATATATCCAATACTTTATCAGACAAATGGTTGTATGTTTAATAATTACACACAATAATATCCCTTCACCACATGTAATTTATGAATACTTGTAGGTAATACTGCAAATGCAATGACTTACTTTTGTCCAGTTAAAAAGCAATAAATGCACACCTGCATATAACACAGACAGCATAAGCTTGTAAATATCACTATTTTATGCACATTTATATACATATATATTTTATGTGTGTATACATAAATATGTGCATATTTATTATTTAAA
The DNA here is from genome assembly GCF_000001405.40 of Homo sapiens. Classification (NCBI taxonomy): domain Eukaryota; kingdom Metazoa; phylum Chordata; class Mammalia; order Primates; family Hominidae; genus Homo; species Homo sapiens. The sequence goes on from NC_000005.10 coordinate 19,009,541, forward strand.
ATATGCACATATTTATAGATATGCTATATGTATACAAGTGTTTATTTATTTACAATTCTATCTTTATTAAGTGAAAGCTGGTCCCAGATTGGAAATTAAATTTTGCTACTATTAAGTTAAACATTGTACAAAACACCTTATTTTAACTGTGAATAGAATTTGCAAATGAATCATACACCTAAGACAACTTGAGACAACCGTTCAACTCTATCTAATATATCAGATATTTCCAGGAGGAAATCCAGAAACCCAGACTGTAGACACTCAGCAACTTTTTTTCCATATTTTAGTATTTGTTGTGAGAATTCCAATTGTAAATTGCATCCAAGACTATTTACTTTATGGACCTAGAATCAGAAATAAAGGAGAAGTGTATTACCTAGATTTTGAATTGAGTCATGATTTTAAATTTAGGTAAAGGAAAAGCTGATTTCTAAAACTCTGAGCTTTGTTTTCTCATCATTTCCAAAATCACAGCCTGGAGCTATGGCTATTGCTACTTCTGTGAGACTGGTGTCTGTTGCTGTCTTCACTTGCTTTATTGTTTATAGTATTCACAATCTCCTTCTCTATAATTTCTCTAAGGATTTTTATCTTCTGTGTCAAAAATATACATCTTTTACAGATTCCACAGGCAAGCAACAAATGTAATAGTCACACATATATGAACATAAATCTTGAATATTCCATTACTTCCCAAGTTTGTTGGCTTAAGAAGTACGTTTTTAAATCAGAAGTTTTATTGTTATTGTTGTTCATCTTCTGCCTTGTTTCATATACTAACAATGGATGCTTTATGCTAGAATTATAGAATATTTCAAAAGACTGACCATTGTGTAAACCCAAAGTCTTAGAATTCTACTTAAATATTTCATGTTTTCCTAATATCACATCAGAATTCTTGCAAGTAATAAAACCTGCCCTACCTCCTTTAGATTTGTTCTGATTGGGTGTTCACCAATTGTAAGTCAAATTTTTTTCTTAACAAATTCATACTATTTTAAATGATATTAATTTCCCCAGTAAATAACACAATTGTTCTAAATATTTATTTTGACAATATAAATTCACTACACTAATAATTTATATGAATCTTTTATATTTTCTTGATATATTAGGATATTACTTGCATAATTTGGTTTACTTTTAGAAATAACATAAGAATTTTTAAATGTTATCTTTCCAAAAAGCATGTTTATTATTATAAGTTTGGTTTGTTGGCACCATGAATAAGACTCTTAAAAATTAATATTCTATATGGTAATATTTGAATAAGATGAAATACAGAGGAACCTAAATTTATTCCTGTGAACAGAAGATGTGATAATGTTGAATATGTGAATTACAATTCAGGAAAGTATTATTTTATATTTTTACAGACTATACATCTAAGATGCAACTTTTAACTTAAAAATTTCTTTTTCAGGAAAGTATAGGAAATAATTTTTTTGGCCAACAAATAATCTTCAGCTATTCAAATATTTTCAAGCAACTGGAATTGCTTTTCATCAATGCTTTTAGTCTGAGCAGAATGGAATATTTAAGAAAACTTGGTCCCCTGAAGTGATGAGCTGACACACAGTCAGGGGTTACATTATATAACTTAATTGGCCTCGACTCTTTTTGGCTCAGTTGCTTCTTTTATATTTGTTTTATCCTTATTTTAAACCTCACATACACTTAATTATAGTAAAAAAAATAAGACATTCCTCTTAGCATTCCAGGAAGAGGCCTTACTTGTTTTTCTTAAATATATTGCCCTTTACACACCAGGCTTCAGGAAAAATTGTGATGGTAATTTTATATACATATGTATATATATGTATTTTTTTTCAGATGGAGTCTCGCTCTATCACTCCGACTGGAGTACAGTGGCATGATCTCAGCTTACTACAACCCCCACCTCCCTGGTTCAAGCAATTCCCCTGCCTCAGCCTCCCAAGTAGCTGGGATTACAGGTGCACACCACCACGGCTAGCTAATTTTTTTTGTATTTTTAGTAGAGACCAGGTTTCACCATGTTGGCCAGACTGGTCTTGAACTCCTGACCTCAGGCAATCCGCCCGCCTCAGCCTCCCAAGTTAACTATATTTTTATTTTCCATTTGCATTTGAGGTATCTGCAGTATGGCCTTTCTTAGCAATGTCCAGCTGTCCAGTTGGAAGTCAGTTTTTTGTCACTCCTCAGATATTAGTTCATAATACTTAAGATGTTCATACTCTCAGAAAATTGTACCCTTTGAACAGGAACTCTGGTGATAGTCAAAGTTCTCAAGATCCCAAAGAAGGAATCACTAGTGGTGACGAATAACCGGAGAAAATACTAGGCAGTGACTCTACTTCCTGGAAGTGTTCTGATTTGGGACCAATAATCAATTATTCAACTTAAAAGTTAAATAAAGTGAAAAATAAAAATAATATATAATACTTTAAATATTTTATTTAAGCTTTAAATGTTTGTATATCTATGTATTTATAAATCATTTGAACTTGACCAAAGCCCTTTCTGTAAATAATATTGTAAAAATTAAATTAATAATTATCTAAAGGACAACTTACTTAAACAAGTGTGAGAACAAAACCGACTTTCGGGAAGTGCCCTGCTTGATTGATGAAAGCCAATGTGTGCAGATAGCCAGAGACATTACGCTATCAGCCGCGAGTGTCCATTGTACCATGGCGTTTATGAATGTTATTCAGATAATGGAACACATTAGTTAATTTCAGTTAAGAGACAGTCCAAAAGAGTTTTTACCCAGTTCTTCAAAATACACTATTTAGGACGGGCGCGGTGGCTCACGCCTGTAATCCCAGCACTTTGGGAGGCCGAGGCGGGTGGATCACGAGATCAGGAGATCGAGACCATCCTGGCTAACAAGGTGAAACCCCGTCTCTACTAAAAATACAAAAAATTAGCCGGGCGTGGTGGCGGGCGCCTATAGTCCCAGCTACTCAGGAGGATGAGGCAGGAGAATGGCGTGAACCCCGGAGGCGGAGCTTGCAGTGAGCGGAGATCACGCCACTGCACTCCAGCCTGGGCGACGGAGCGAGACGCCGTCACGCCCACCCCACCCCCACCCACCCAAATACACTATTTTGTGACCATTTCACAGGTTATTCTAATAATCTTTTCTATGCAGTATTCCCATGCATGATTCTTCTAGAATTTGAAAATAAATTGAATAGTCAGAAGAATATTGCATAAGAAATTGCACTTCAGAGAAGTAAAATAAACTTTGATTTAGAAAAAGCTATTTTGCTTCAATTCTCAGTATACATTACAAAGTGTGAAAAACATAAGTGATTCAATAACTTTTGATTTGGGTCTACACAACTCCCTGCTAGCATTGTCCCATCTACCGTGGAGATACAGCTCCTATCATTGCCTCTGATCACTCTGTCTTGGCTACACTGGTCTCCAAGCTAGTTCTCCCAGGAAAGTTGGTTTGCATCTCAGGGCCTTTTCTTTTATAACCCTTCTACCTGAATTGTTTTACTTTCCGCTATGACTTACAAAATTGATGAAAGCTTTTTCAACTTTATGAAAGTGCAAAAGCAATAAACATTCATTAGACACCATACTTCAAGTACCCATACAAGCATTGTGTTTTTCACTTTCAGAACAGAATTCAATAAAGTACCTGGGCTATTCAACATTTTATTATACAATAGCCTTTGTATTCGATGATTTTGCCCAACTGTAGGCTAATGTAAGGGTTCTGAGCACATTTAAGGTAGGCTAGGCAAAACTATGATGTTAGGAAGGTTTGGTGTATTAAATGCTTTGTTAACTCAATGATATTTTAACCTAATGATTGGTTTATCAGGATGTAACCCTGTCATAAGTCAAGGAGAATCTTAATATAACTACATCTTTCACTACATATTTGGCCTGTGCTCTGAAGTTTTAACGCTGTAATGTATCTCTTTATTATGAAGTTACAGATAGTACTTATTACTACCTAGCATTTTATAATGTACAGGTTGCTTTTATTGTCTGTTACTACCAGAAGCTGAGATCCATTACAGCAATAGTGCTGTAATCCTAATGTAGTGAACAACACTTGGCATACAATAGGTGATCAATAAATATTTGTGAATGAATGAATGAAATAACAGTATTTACTATTACAGATATAATTTTGAATGTATTTTTAGTTTATTACATTTACATGATTTTTAAATGTTCATTTAAAATTTTCACCATTATAACTCCACTTTTAAGAGACAGTAATTATGACTACAATTATTATTCAATTTTAAGGTAATTATAAAAATTGGCTGGGAGCAGTGTCACATGCCTGTAATTCCAGCACTTTGGGAGGCCGAGGCCAGGGGTTCAGTTGTCCTGGCAGGGGTTTGAGGTTAGAGTGAGCTATGATTGTACCACTGCACTCCAGCCTGGGAGACAGAGTGAGACCTAGTCTCTCTCTCTCTCTGTCACACACATACACACAAACACACAAAGATAAAAAAGATTTTCTCCTGCCTAAGGTGTTCCAATAGCCTTCTTATTGTTGAATCAGGAATACTCAGTTTATTTTTCTAGAATTTTCAAATAAAATAAGTTGCTCAACTTTTCAAGGAAAGAATATGAAAAAGCAGATAAAAGCCTGTTGTGTCCACTGCTTGAGTGGACTTCATAGCAAGGAAATGTGCAAAGGGGCAACGCTTTCTTAAAGTTTCATCTTTTTTATGATGACTTCAGAGATCTCCCATTCAGAATTTTTCCCTGTTGAAACTCAGTTTATCAAAGGTTAAAAGGCATTGATTGAGTACAAAATTTAGGTTTCTGGTACTTCAGTGATGTTCTTGGTAGTTATATTAGCAGCTCAAACAGTTGGCTTTATCACCACTGACTACAAATAAGAAAGGCCAGTATATAATTAGGCTCTTTTAATATTAGAGGAAGCATACTCCACAACTGAGAACTCTATTAAAGTGTCTATATAAAATTATTCAACATTTGGCAAACTTACATGAGATGGTCTGTAACCAGAAGGTCTGAACACAGTTTAAGCAGCCAGAAAACACTTCTTAAATTTGGGCTGCTTTCTCCTTCAGATGCTATAAAGTAACAGGTGTCTATAGCAAGTGTGAAAATTTGCCAATAATACTTTGTTCATAATTTCTGGTCTCTGGCTTTTGGATTAAGAAGTTCTGTAGATACTAAATGGAACACATACTCATGTAGAAACCATTTTTACACCATTAGTGATCAGTGGTACAGACAGACCATGTCACCAAAGGATACATTTGCCTCTTCGAGTTGAAATACATAAGCTGCAATGAGCCTTATCTGAATCAATGTTTTCCAAGTTATGCCAAGACCCAGAAATTTACATTGTGAGATAGAAATAACCTGTCTAATCAAGTGCAATGCCCTGTCTTAACTAACTTCACAAAAAGTTGTGACAACTTACTCTCTAGCTTTACCTCCCGTCTAATTAAACCATGAGCTTGCTTTTGTTCCTACTTAGGTGATTTGTCACTTGGCAATGAAACGGTCCATCCAAAACACAGCCAATCTACAGTGACAAAATACCTAGACAACTTATGCTACTAAAAATGGATGTCATGGGCTGAAGAACTTTGGGTATTGTTTCCATCCTTACAGAAATTTGCCTGAAATTGACTAATATTCATCTTTACTCAGGTTTATGGACTTAGACCAATATCCTGGTTTTATGTTATTTATTGTGCCACCAATACTAGAATATTAAATGTACTCAAACTCCTTTGGAAACAAATTACAGTAACTGTCACAAATTCAATCTATTACTCATATTCCCTGCCCAATGTAAAGGGCCGAAGTTGGAAGAAAGTTTCCATAATTAAATAGGTGATCAGGCATGTTTTGGCATAATTTCTCCTGTAGCCTGCTGGATCCACGCTTTAACTCACCTGGGAAATGAAGACATCAGGAAAGAGTGGGACTCAAGATTTATTTTTAAAAATCTCTTATTGGAGTACAGGTATCTTAACAGCCATAGGCACTGCATTGACATTCTGTGCTCTGCCTTAAGCCTCTTGTATCACATGATTTTTATGTGTTAGCATTCATTTGCTGGAGATTATGCATAATCATAGTGTGATTATAGCACACTGCTCTGGAAATTTGTAGGACACTTTTTCACAACCGGTTACTGGCTACTGCCTATGGCATTTGCAATATTTCAAACTGCTATACTGTTGGGTTTGTCTCCACGTTTTCATTCATATTTTCTTGCCACTTAAAAAACTTTGACACACAAAAGATAGTGCATAATTAATTTATACAATTTGGTGAGCTTGGAGATAAGTATACACCCATGAAACTATTATCACAGTTTATGCCATAAATCTATTCAACACCTACACAAGTTCTGTCCTACTCTCTTATTATCACTATTGTGTGTGTGTGTGTGTGTGTGTGTAAGAACACTTAACACGAGATCTTTGGTCAGCCCTCTCTTGATCTTCTTTTTAGATGCTTCTTCCTACCTACTTAAAATTTGTATCAATAGGCAACTCCATATTTTATGTCACTTTACTTCGGAAAAACAGATGAAAGTGCTGTTGGCTGATATTTCTCATATTTATACCTTTCTCAGTAGAACCTTACTAGAGTGTTTTTTCTGAATATAGAAACAATTCTTTCACTGAGGAGAATTATTTTAATTTCTCACGACACCTTGAAATTTGTATTCCAGGGTATAAATGCAATACTATTGACATGGAGATTTATAATGATTAATTGTTCATTTACAAGAAAGCTGGAAAAACCCCCTTTTAAAAGTATATTGCATGTGATTTTTGCACATTGATTTTGTATCCTGAGACTTTGCTGAAGTTGCTTATCAGCTTAAGGAAATTTTGGGCTGAGACAATGGGGTTTTCTAGATATACAATCATGTCATCTGCAAACAGGGACAATTTGACTTCCTCTTTTTCTAATTGAACTATCTGATCTTTGACAAACCTGACAAAAACAAGAAATGGGGAAAGGATTCCCTATTTAATAAATGGTGCTGGGAAAACTGGCTAGCCATATGGAGAAAACTGAAACTGGATCCCTTCCTTACACCTTATACAAAAATTAATTTAAGATGGATTAAAGACTTAAACGTTAGACCTAAAACCATAAAATCCCTAGAAGAAAACCTAGGCAATACCATTCAGGATATAGGCATGGGCAAGGACTTCATGTCTAAAACACCAAAAGCAATGGCAACAAAAGCCAAAATTGACAAATGGGATCTAATTAAACTAAAGAGCTTCTGCACAGCAAAAGAAACTACCATCAGAGTGAACAGGCAACCTACAGAATGGGAGAAAATTTTTGCAATCTATCCATCTGACAAAGGGCTAATATCCAGAATCTACAATGAACTCAAACAAATTTACAAGATAAAAAACAAACAACCCCATCAACAAGAGGGTGAAAGATATGAACAGACACTTCTCAAAAGAAGACATTTATGCAGCCAAAAAACACATGAAAAAATGCTCATCATCACTGGCCATCAGAGAAATGCAAATCAAAACCACAATGAGATACCATCTCACACCAGTTAGAATGGCGATCATTAAAAAATCAGGAAAGAACAGGTGCTGGAGAGGATGTGGAGAAACAGGAACACTTTTACACTGTTGGTGGGACTGTAAACTAGTTCAACCATTGTGGAAGTCAGTGTGGCGATTCCTCAGGATCTATAACTAGAAATACCATTTGACCCAGCCATCCCATTACTGGGTATAAGGATTATAAAACATGCTGCTATAAAGACACATGCAGACGCATGTTTACTGCGGCACTATTCACAATAGCAAAGACTTGGAACCAACCCAAATGTCCATCAATGATAGACTGGATTAAGAAAATGTGGCACATATACACCATGGAACACTATGCAGCCATAAAAAAGGATGAGTTCATGTCCTTTGAAGCGACATGGATGAAACTGGAAACCATCATTCTCAGCAACTTATCGCAAGGACAGAAAACCAAACATTGCATGTTCTCACTCATAAGTGGGAATTGAACAATGAGAACACATGGACACAGGAAGGGGAACATCACACACCGGGGCCTGTTGTGGGGTGGAGGCTGGGGGAGGGATAGCATTAGGAGATATACCTAATGTTAATGACGAGTTAATGGGTGCAGCACACCAACATGGCACATGTATACATATGTAACAAACCGGCATGTTGTGCACATGTACCCTAAAACTTAAAGTATAATTAAAAAAAAAAGAAATAAAAAGTATATTGCAGACAGTGACTACAGGTTCTGAGTTAAGCAAAATGGCAAGTTGTTTTAACCATACAGAAATATTTCACTTTTGCTGTTAGTAAAGGTTATCGAGGGTGTTTTATTTCAGTAGCCTCCTTAAAGTGTTATATGATCCTTGTCATTGGAGGATTATGAATGTGCTGCTTGTCTATTCTATGAGTACAAATGAAGTAGCCCAGCTATTCATCAGTGACCTGATTAGACATGCTCAAAAATGCTTGTAATTATGCTTTAAAAGTATCAGAACTTTTTCTGTTGTTATGTAGAAGATTTTCTGCATATTTACAAAATTTGTAAGCTCACATAAAAGAGTGATGGTAAGTGAGAAAGCTTCTATTCCAGTAGAATTTTAGTTCCTTATATTTAAGATAGAATAGCAACAGGATCTTAGAAAAAGGATTGCCACAGAATGTTTTTTATGAGTGTCTTTAATGCTGCATGAAATGCTGCTTTCACTTATTTATCATTTCCTCCTTTCTTTTCTCCTCTTTTCTGTTCTTATCTCTTATTATTCTTGTATCTAAAGCAGCATTTAGCAAACTCGAGGAGAATGAAGAGCATTGATGCTATGAAAGAAAAAGGCAGAGGCTGACATTTTGCTACTCAAGTTCTGATTCACAAATATTCATAAACTTTGAGACAACAAAGGTACAAACATGCATTTTTATTCAACTTAACATTCTAGTTTATGTTTCCTATTTCTCATTCTGCAAATTATGTTAAAATATAATTAATGCTATAATATATCAGCTTACACAACCATTCTAAGAATAATTTAATCCATCAATACATTTTAAACCAAGAAGGTAAATTTTTTACATTCTGGGGAATGTGTCAGAAATAAAACTCTTTACCCCAAACTTTATTTTAAAAAAATAAATGAATCGATAATCTCAGACAAAGCCAGTTTCAGTTCCTATTTTGCAAAAAGTAATATTACACTGCCAGGATAAACTCATTTGAAGTAGCAAGCCTTCAGCAAATGAAATATTTTCACTTGAGAATCATAGTTAGCATTCTAACTGCCTGTTTGTTATGTCATGGTAAAACATTTTTTGTTACCACAAAATATCGAACAGAAGAAAAACATCTGAAAGCAGAGTTAACTATGGAAATTTTTATTGACTGTGGTCAGGGAAATGCGTCTGCCTGATAAAAGGATTGTTGTTGTTTCTCAACCCCACACTAATAACCCAGCCTGCTCTTTTCAGTTATCAACAGCCGCAGGCATCCACGTCAGGGTGCAAGGTTTCATCTCGGGTTTGCTACTTGCCTGGGACAACAAGCTAACAGAGTTGCAAAGCTCTTTCTTTGCTGCTGGTGGACTGCATTGGTTTCAGGCTTCCTTTGGCCTTGCTCTGTCCCTTTCTGAAGATGTTTTACTTTTTAACTTTTTGTCTCCTTCTAGAAGGAACCAACACAGTGATCCTGCAATTCCTGTGGATTTCCTGATCATTTGTTGCATTTTACAAACTTTTGACTTTTTAGTATTTTACTTAACCATTTTTTTTTCCTAGTCCAAATCTAAAGCCACCTGCATCCCATATGCTACTGCTGTGGTTAAAATCTCCAAACTTAGGTGGCTCTTTTTCCTTAGCATTCACTTCTTGCTGGACTCCTTAGATGGATAATTCCCCTTTGTTCACATCTGGGGACTGTTATGTGGTTGTACTCTTTTGAGAGATGCTTTATTTAGGCTGTTTTATTTTCAAATTAGTTTGTTTTTTAACTTCGGATGATGACACTTCTTCTCTCCATACAAGACAACCTCAAAACCAGTCCTGACTGCTAACACTCAGTGAAGACAGGCTCCTGAGATTTCCACTTGTTTTTTCAGGAAATGTGACTATATTTTCCCTGTGCCACAAGACATTGTCTGAAATAATGGGGCACGTTCCTTTGGTGCGTTCAGCCCACGCTTATCAGCTGTGACTGAATCAGGTGTATCTGACAAAGTTGATCTTCCTGCTGATGGAGATCAGCCAGGAGGTGCTGATTCGTGGTCCTGCTGAACCTCTGGTCACTCTAGAGAGGTTTATAGTGACCCTACTCTTTGTTAGTATGTTTTGTAACCATTTATAAAATTCACATACATTAAATTCAACTATTTAGACTACATTTAATTGCTTTTCCTATATTCACAGGGTTGTGCAATCATCACCACAACCAATTTTACGACATTTTCATTACTATCCTCAACAAACCTTACGGCCATTAGCAGTCACTTCCAAATTCTCCCTAACCCCACTTTCCAGGCAATAGCTAATCTATTTCCTGTCTCCATAGATTCATCTATTCCAGACATTCTACATCAATGGAATTATATAATATGTAGTCTTTTGTAATGACTTGTTTAGTATAATTATTTCAAGATTCATTTACATTGTAGCATGCAACATATTTCCATTTTATTGCTGAATAACATTCCATTGTATTAATATGCCTCATTTTATCCACTTATGAGTTGATGGGCATTTGGATTGCTTCTACTTTTGGCTCTTATAAACATTTTTGCACAACTTTTTGTGTGGATACATGCTTCCATTACTCTTGGGATGTGTGATAAATGCATGTTTAAAGTTTTCAGAAACAGTCAGAATGTTCTGAGTTTGCTCCATTACTTTACATTCCCCTAAAAGTGTATGAAGGTTCCAGTTTATCTACATCCTGACTAATGCTTGTCATTATCTGCCTTTTTCAGTATAGCTACCCTAGTGAGTACAAAGTGATATGTCATGATTTTGATTTGTGTTTGTCTAATGACTAATAATATTGAGCATATTTTCATATACATGTTGGTCATTTGTATGTATTATTTAGAGAAATGTCTATATCTACTTTGTCTATTTTTAATTGGATTATTTGTCCTTTTATTATTAAATTTTAAGGGTTTATATATATATTTTAGATGCAAATCTTTTATAAGGCATACAATTTGCCTATATTTTCTCTCATTCTGTGGGTTGTCTACTTTCTCAATGTTATTTTTCTTGAAGCATGAAAGTTTTAATTTTGGCTAAACTCAATTTATTTATTGTTTTCTCTTTTTGTTCTGTGTTCTTGATGTTTGTGTTGACCCTTGAAGATTGATAAGTTTCATTTCTGTTTTTTGTGCCTCAACAGTAACATTAAATTAAAATCCATTCAGGAAGCAGCTGCAATAAATAAGGGCGAAGTTCATGGTAGGTGGCTGTTTAAGGTGCTTTTCCACTTAGGAAGTATGATCTTAGGGATGCCAGAGTTTAAACCTGCACATCTTCAGAAGACTAGATTTTACCTGAAATCTAAAGACAAATTTAAAATTGGTTAAAACAAGGGAAAAATTCAAGAGATGTGTGAATTATTTCCGGGCTTATCATACTAGGAGTAAGTATTTTTTTAGCATCATCTCCAAGCATCATACCCATTATGACAGTTGATCCTCTCCCACGTGCACCTACTAGATCATTTTATTCTATCTCTAATTTCTTCCTACATTTATAAATTTCACTATTTAGTATATCTTAAGTTCTTATTTTTTATGGAACACAAAAGTATTATATTCCTAACCTTGCTTAGGGCATTTAGAAACATAAAATAATCTGGTTTGTAATATATGTTTATTGGTTTAATAATAATTGATTTTTTTTATTTTTACTTTTGGAGGGGAGAAGAACATATAAGAAAAGAAAAATTTAGTGATGGGGACTTTTTTTTTTTTTTTGAGACGGAGTCTCGCTGTGTCACCCAGGCTGGAGTGCGGTGGCGCGATCTCAGCTCACTGCAAGCTCCGCCTCCCGGGTTCACGCCATTCTCCTGCCTCAGCCTCCCTAGTAGCTGGGACTACAGGCGCCCGCCATCACACCTAGCTAATTTTTTGTATTTTTAGAAGAGACGGGGTTTCATCGTGTTAGCCAGGATGGTCTCGATCTCCTGACCTCGTAATCCACCCACCTCGGCCTCCCAAAGTGCTGGGATTACAGGCGTGAGCCACTGTGCCCAGCCAGTGATGGGGATTATTCCTTACCTGTATTGTTGAACCAGGTTGTGGTTGATTAGATGACAAGCTTTCCTTATGGTATAAGCCTGGGATTTTGTATAGAGACACTCATTAGGACAGAAGCAAGAGCTGAACACCTTCCCCATTGGGAAGTTGTCAACACAATTGATCTGGTTCCTGAGTCTTTACTAAATGCTGTTGTACCTATTTGAAAACATGGGAAATCTTTTGCATACATATATACTAACAACAGTCTATCAGAATGTCCATCTGTTTATTATTTGTTGAGAAAACAAGTGAAAGATTCTTTCACCCCAAATGTATTCACTACCAATGAGTAACTGATAGATTTTCCCTCAACCCTATACCAACAGAATAAATTTCATGAAATAAATGAGCTGGAGCTAAGATACTATTCACCCCTGTCCTGATCTAAATGAAGTATATTTTACATGACATACTAAACTGAAGTATATGATTTTATGTGTAATGTCACCAGGGAGTGATGACTATCTGGGCCGGTGGCACAGGGGTAAAAGAATTTACCAAGAGAGTTGTAGATAAAGGCAGATTTATTCATATAAGTTGGAAAATACATCGCAAAACAGCAACATGCAGACAAGCAGAAGCGACAGCAAAAAAAAAAACACAAAGGTTTGCTGGAGATTTTATAGCATAGTTTTTATGCAGTATGCTGAAGTGGGCTTTGTGCAGTACTGATAATGCCAAGGTTGTAGTGAGCTAACTTTCAGGTGTTTGGTGATAGTTGGGCACGGAAGATTGTGAGTTATTTACACAGGAAGGCTATGTGTCCCGGACTACGAAGAAAGGCATACTTGTAGCTTATCTGCTTTTTGTTTTTCCCTGGTCCTACCAGCCTGACTTCTTTTCCCTAATTAGGACTTCACATTTGAGATATGTCTTCTTATATTTGCTCATGTTCTGGACAGCCTATGATGAGTTATTGGCACATACTTCAATTTAAAATGTAGGTTAGTACTCAAATTTACATGCCGTTTAGACAAAGTACAGCAATTCATTGTTCATGATAATAAGTCACTCCCCAGAGAAACAAAAGCCATCTATTTCAGGAGTCCACAAGGGAGGACATGCTAAAGAAACTGGAGTAAAGGAACACGCCTTATCCCAATTCTCTCTAAACAAACTTGCAGAAATATCCAAATTAAAAGTTCATAAAACCAGCACTTCAGGAAAAGAAAGAGGCCATTTCAATGAGTGTTAGCACAATGAAGGAAATAGGAGCAGCACCCACTTATCCCTCCCTCCTTCTTCTCAATCTCTGACCTTATTCTTGGGGCAAGATGCTATCAAGGAGCCTGCATTCTTCTTGTGCAAGGATGGAATGAAACCATTGCTGCTTAGCCCACAAGACCTTATGTGAGTTTGGTCACTGCCAATAGCATGTGTTGTGGCAAATTTCATAAAGTCCTGTTGGTTTTAGTACTCTTTTGAATAAAAGATGCACACAGATGGATAAGCACTTCCATTCTTTGCCTGGAAAGGTGGTGGCTACACGTTGCACCTCTGGAATGTGATGATATTGATATGAATCCTTAGTATGTCACTTGTCAGTGATGTTACTTAGCAATTTCCTCTGCAAAATAAGGACAATAATAGTCCTTGGTTGATTGGGCTAGTAGATAATTAAATTACATATTATGGATAAGCACGTACACTCTGCTTGCCATGAAGGGGTCGATAAATGCTAACCCAATATTTTACCCTAATTATACCCATCCTCTATACGATATAAAATAATTAAGAGTTTTTATTAATATTTCAATATGATAATATCTCCTTATATTCTCCATTCTACCTTTTTATGGCCATTGCTGTCATGAAGAAGAAATGAAGCTTTCTAATGGCTAGCCATATGCAGAAGACTGAAGCTGGACCCCTTCCTTACGCAATATAAAAAAACAACTCAAGATGGATTAAAGACTTACACATAAAAACCCAACAGTATAAAAACCCTGGACGACAACCTAGGCAATACCATCCTGGACATAAGTATAGGCAAAGATTTCATGACAAAGACACCAAAAGCGATTGCAGCAAACCAGAAATTTGCAAATAGGATCCAATTAAACTCAACAGCTTCTGCACAGGAAAAGAAACTATCAATGGAGTAAAGAGACAACCTGCAGAATGGGAGAAAATATTTGCAAACTATGCATCTGAAAAAGGTCTAATCTCCAGCATCTATAAGAAAAGAAAATGTATAAGAGAAAAACAACCCCATTAAAAAGTGGGCAAAGGACATGAAAAGACACTTTTTAAAAGAAGATATACATGCGACCAGCAAGCATTGCAAAAAAGCTCAATATCACTGATCATTAGAGAAATGCAAATCAAAACCACAATGAGATACTATCCCACACCAGTTGGAATGGCTGATAGTAAAAAGTCAAAAAATAATAGATACTGGCAAGGATGCAGAAAAAGGGAACATTTATACACTGCTGGTGGGAGTATAAATCAGTTCAACCATTGTGGAAGGCAGAACTACCAAAGAGCTGAAAACAGAACTACCATTCTACCCAGCAATTCCATTACCAGGTATATACCCAGAAAAATATAAATAGTTCTATCATAAAGACACATGCACACACAAATGTTAATTGCAGCACTATTCACCAGAGCAAAGACATGGAATCATCCTAAATGCTCATCAACGACAGATTGAATAAAGAAAATGTGGTACATACACACAATGGAATGCTATACAATCATAAGAAATGGGCTCTGGCCAGGCACGGTGGCTCATGCCTGTAATCCCAGCACTTTGGGAAGCTGAGGTGGGTGGATCATGAGGTCAGGAGTTTGAGACCAGCCTGACCAATGTGGTGAAACCCCGTCTCTGCTAAAAATACAAAAAAAATTAGTCAGGCATGGTGGCACGTGCCTGTAATCCCAGCTACTCAGGAGGGCTGAGGCAGGAGAATCGCTTCAACCCGGGAGGTGGAGGTTGCAGTCAGCCGAGATTGCACCACTGCACTCCAGCCTGGGTGACAGAGCAAAACTCCGTCAAAAAATAAAAATAAATAAAAATAAAAGAAATGGGATCATCACACCTGTAATCCCAGCACTTTGGAAGGCCGAGGTGGGTGGATCACGACGTCAGGAGTTTGAGACCAGCCTGAACAGCATGGTGAAAACCTGTCTCTACTAAAAATACAAAAATTAGCCAGGCGTGGTGGCGCGTGCTTGTAATCCCGGCTACTCGGGAGGCTGAGGCAGGAAAGTCGCTTGAACCCTGGAGGCAGAGGTTGCAGTGAGCCAAGATTGCGCCACTGCACTCCAGCCTGGGCGACAGAGCGAGATTCATCTCCAAAAAAAAATGGGATCCTGTCTTTCGTGGGAACATGGATGGAGCTGGAGACCATTATCTTCAGCAAACTAATGCATGAACATAAAACCAAACATCGTATGTTCTCACTTACAAATAGGAGCTAAATGATGAGAACTTGTGATTGCAAACAAGGTAACAAGAGACACCAGGGTCTACTTGAGGGGGCAGCGTGGGAGGAGAGAGAGGTGCAGAAAATATAACTATCGAGTACTGGGCTTAATTCCTGGGTTATGAAATAATCTGTACCACAAACTCCTGTGACATGAGTTTACCTAGGTAGCAAAACTTCACATGTAACCCCAAAACCTAAAATAAAAGTTAAAAAAACACAATGTCTTAGCTATGAACAAGTTAACTTTTCTTTATACAAACGTTTTTGACAAATTTGACAAGTGAAGCTGTTTTTATAAAATGAAATAAAAGTATACATTATATTTTCTAAAATCCAAATTCTACATATAAACCCACAAGTGCAGCTCTCAGATTCTATAATTTGATTTTTTTCACATGTGGGAGGAAAGAGAAGAGCAGGTATCTCTTTCTAGGTTTTTGCTTATATCCAGAAACACCTTTAGCATGATAAAGATCCTTGACATTATATGTGAGAACTCAACTTGTATGAAACACAGAGCTCAGAATAACATTTGTACATGTATGGAACCATAATCTACGAGAGAAGTAGCATATCACATCAATGAAGAGATGAGCTGGTAAGAAATAATTATTCCATAGAAAATAATAAATTAGATTTCTTCCTCACAGTCTATGCAGAAATCAATACCTCCATAGCATGTCAAATGCATGCAGAAATTAAAGCTGATAACAACATACAAACTGTCTTGTAAGTTATGGTATTTTCCATTCTGATTGATCTGAGGTTCTCAGCTATGGGTTAGGTAGGGTTCTAAGATTTAGTAAATAACAATACAGACACTCAGTTAAATGTGAATCTCAGATAAGTGGTTAAGACATTTTTACATAATTATATGACAAATATTGTGTGCGATATGCTTGTATTAAAAATTCATTGAAAACCTGAAATTTAAATTTAACTGAATATTTTATGTTTTAACTAGAAATCCTATTTAAGATGGGGAAGGGAGATGATATAAATCTCACATCATGTTTCCAAAGAGAAGAATGAGGAAACTATGGAAATTTATCAAATGCAACAACTTATGCCTCCAAACTGGAATGTAATAACCACTGAAAATATCTTTCAAAAGTGAAGGTGAATAAAGGTATTTACTGATACAAACCTAAATAATTATTTACTATCAGGCCAATACAAATTTTAATGTAAAAAACACTCCTTAAGGTAGAGAAAAGATGATCCTATGAGGGAACTAGGAATACAGGAAGAAAAAAGTTAATGCAAAGGGTAATTTTGTGACTAAATATAAATGAATATTGATTGTAGAAAATTATAATAATGACTAACAAGTTAAATGTGAGAAGACTGAGTTTTCTATAAGGCAAATTCTTAAAGACTACCCTGAAAAGTTATGAAAGACTTATTACAATGACAACAATATTTTACCCTAATTATACCCATCGTCTATACAGTATAAATATGCACAACTCTTAACAATAGTGGAGTATATTTCTCCACCCCTTGAATCGGGGTTGTCCTTGTTCATTGCTTTGTCTGGTAATTTGAGGTGGAAGTGATGGTTTGTGCCAGTTCTCAGCGTACATTTCAAGAATTCTCATATAATTTCACTCTGTCACTTAACCCTGTTATGTCCAAGTAAATAAGCTTAGGTTAGCCCATAGAAACATCACAGAGAAGAAAACAAGTTGTCTCAGCAAAGGTAATTCTTAAGACATCAACATGAGAGAAAGGCAGCTAAGAATAGAAGAGCTTTGTAATCAACCTGCAAGTTGACCTCAGAGGTATGAATGGACACATCTTGAACCAGAAAAACCTGCCCACTTGACCGGTACACTTGTGATCAGTAGTAAATATTTATTGGTTTAAGCTGCTAAGTTTGGGAGTAGTTTGTTAAACAGTAATAACTAACTGATGAGAACCTTCATGCTGCTTAGCACAACACAACTTATATACAAGGTTGAATATAAAAGGTAGGAAAATATGCCAACAGCAACAAAAATAAAATATTTTAGCTATCATAATTTCAGAGAAAACAGATCTTAAGGCAAAAAGAATTATTATACTAAGAAAGATATTTCTTAAGAGTAAAAAACAACTCACCAGAAGTATATTTGAAATCTGTGTGGACATAAAAATGTGGATTCAAAATATATAAAGCAAGATTTACAGAAATTAAAAAATACATAAATAATTCCAAAATCAACGGGGGAGGACCTCATCAATAAATGATAGAATGAGACAAATAATCAATGGAGAAAGGGATGATTGAAACAAATAAACCTGACCTAACTGATTATATAGAGATTACAATACCAACTTATAATATACCCATCTCTCAATTGCACATAAAAAGTACCAAAATTGATTACATGCAGGACTATAAAGCAAGCTTTAAGAAAATTAGTGAAGTGAACTCATTCATAATATTTTTCTGATCATAGTAAAATGAAGTTAGATGTCAATAACAAAAGAGATTTCTAGAATAGTTTCAAATATTGAAATTAAACAAGATACTTCCAAATTACACATGGATCAAAATAGAATTAAAAAATACTTCAACCAACATGGCAATGCAAAGAAACATTAAAAGTTGTGGAATGTAGTTAACCCTGCACTTAGAATAAAATCTATAGCCATAAGTTCATACATTAAAAAAGAGAAAGACTATAAATCAATTATATATGTCTATATCTTAAAAAGTTAGAAAATAAAAGCAAATGAATTAAAAGAAAGTGAAAAATTAACTGAGATAAAGTTAAAAAAACAAAGAGTAACATTTAAGAAAATAGTTATGAGTACAAATGTACAATAAAGAAAATACATAAATCTAAAAGATTAACAGATTAGTAAAATGTATAAACACATAGCAAAGCCAACTAACAACAAAACAAAACAAATTAAATTATAAAAATGTTCTGAAGGTATTCAATGATAAATGGGACATTACTATATAAACTAGATATTATAATGATAGCAAGAGGATATTATAAACAACTCTTTCAATAAATTTAAAACTAGAAAATTTGGACTAATTCCTAGAAAAAGGCTTAACATGCTAGAAGTGTCACAATAAAATAATGGAATATTTGAGTAACAATATACATATATTGAAGATACATTGTTTATAAGTAAACTTCTCACAAATAAACATTTTCAAAAATAAAAATTTAGGCCAAATTCACTGACTTATTCTTCTAAACATTTATAAAGAAATAGTAAAAAGATAAAGATTTCTGATTCTCACTACTGTGCCTTAGTTCTAAACGGGTTAAAAACGTAAACTTGTTTTTTACCCCTTCTGGGGGCCAGATGTCTGAAATGAGTGTCAGTGGAATAAAAGCACAGTGAAAACAGGGCTGTAATTTCTCTGGAGTTTACAGGACAGAACCCATCCTTCCTGGCCTCGTCCAGCTTCTGTTAGTTACCAGCATTCTTTAGTTTTTTGCTGCATCGGTCCAATCTCTGCCTCTGTCATCAGATGGCCTCTGGGTATATTTGTCAAATCTCTCTCTTGTAAAGAGGCATGGGGGCTGGGTGCGGTGGCTCACGCCTGTAATCCCAGCACTTTGGGAGGCCGAGGAGGGCGGATCACAAGGTCGGCAGATGGAGACCATCTTGGCTAACACGGTGAAACCCCGTCTCTACTAAAAATACAAAAAAATTAGCCAGGTGTGGTGGCAGGCACCTGTAGTTCCAGCTACTCGAGAGGCTGAGGCGGGAGAATGGCGTGAACCCGGGAGGCGGAGCTTGCAGTGAGCTGAGATCGCACCACTGCACTCCAGCCTGGGTGACAGAGCAAGACTCCGTCTCAAAAAATAAGTAAATAAATAAATAAATAAATAAATAAATAAATAGGCATGTGATGACCTTTAGAACCCAACTAGATAATCCAGGATAATCTGCCTGAAGTTTTTTTTATCTTAGTCACATCTGTAATGACCCTTTTTCCTAAAAGGATGACATACACAGATTCTATAGATTAGGACCTGATGTCTTTGGGAGCCACCATTCAGTTTACTACAGCACCATCCACAGGTATCCATTTCAGGAGGATTGCAGACTCAAATATGAAAGAAAAAATATATATATTTCTAGGCAAAAACATAGACAACTATCCTCTGGTATGATATGAATCTCTCATGAGTAAAGACTATGTGTTTTGTAGGTGGGAGTGGAAGGAGGATGTTAATCCACAGAATCTGATTTATTCCTAGTCAGAGTGCAAAATATAATAACTATGTGTAAAAAAGCACAATTTGATATTTTTAAATAAAAAACATTTGCATACACATTTACATAATCTAGAGCCCAGCAATTATACTTCTTGGTATATTTACACTCATGAGAAATTTCCACATGTCCATCTGTGTCAGAGGCATATACAAAAATTGTCCTTGGCAGCTCTGTTCATCATAGTGAAATGGGAAGAGTTCCCTTATCCTCCTTGCAGGGTGTGCCATGCGGGTGTGGCTCACTTTTTCTTTACCCTGCTGTTCATAACCCTAGGGGGAGCACACAGAGGGGCAGGTCATGGGACCTGCTGACCTCAGGCAGCACATAGGATTGAATGTTTACAGCTGAAGCCCCAGTGGGCGTGTGTAGTGCACTCTTTTAGTTTTGTCCTCTGCAGGCAGCTTGTGTTAATCAGCTCAATTAGACTCTGCCTTATTGCAAGGACAGAGAGCTTTCTGTATCCTGGGTTCTTGCCTTAGTGTACTGGAAAAATCAGATCATACGTGGGCTTGGAGAATAGGTGCAAGGTTTTATTGAGTGGAGGTAGCTCTCAGTGGCCTTCTGGGAAGGCCAGAAGGGCGATGGAATGGGAAGGTGGTCTTACCCTGCAGTTGGGCAGCCCACTGGCTGCCCTCTCCTCTGACTGCCCCTGGCCGAATTCCAAGTCCTCCCTGGGTCAATGGCCTGTGGGCGTTTGCTAGTGCCTGTTGGTGTGCTCTTCCACTCCTCTGCTCCTCTCCAGATCTAGCTCCCTGTGTCTGTGCCCGCTAGAGTCTCAGGGGTTTTTATAGACAAAGGATAGGGTCCATGTTGGGCCAGGGTGGTCTTGGAAAAATGCAACATGTGACTGTGAAAACAGAAATGCTTGTCTTCACCTAGGTCCCTGGGCACAGTCCCGAAGGTGGAGCCCTCGCTAGGGACCCTGCCTTTCTCTACCCAGCACTTCCCATCCCCACTCCCATATCAATAGCTAAAACTTGGAAGTATCCCCAAGTGCCTTTCAACTCTGGAGTAGATGCACAATATAACTTCTGGAATGGCGGTATGAGGAGCTCCATGGACCCGCTCTCCAGCAAAACAAATGTAACTGGTGAAAATTATAAAAACTGGTGAAAACTATAAAACAAACAAACAAAAACGAACATTTAAAGTCTCTGGAAATTGTCTTGCGAGAGAAAAGCAAATTAAGAAAGATTCATTGAAGAAAATCTACGAGTTGGTAAGAATGGCAAGAATCTGTGGCATATGCATTGTGGCCTTCTCCCTTCTTCCTCCTCACAACTCAGAGTGATAGAAACTTCACTCCAGTTGGGTGCAGAAGAACAGAGCTTTCCTTCTCCTTATCTTTCCTGAGTGCTATAGTATTTTTCTGGGAGTGTCAGGCCATCAGCATTTCTCATTCCTCTCTCTTCCCTACCTGTTGCAGAAAAAAATTTCAGGTGAGTGTGACTAAAAGGTCAAGGGCTCCCTTCCTCTACCCAATCCCCACTTACAAGGCAGAGGACTTACCAAAAGAGTGGCACCCTGAGAACACCATGGCCATAACTGCCCTCATTCCAGCTTATTTGTAGCATGGAGTTTCAAGCCAGGAGAGGCAAGCTGAGCAGACAAGGCCACCATTTCTACCCAGAGACCTATTGCTAAAGCAGGGGTGTCACTCACAGAGAAGTGCAGCATCATCTCTACCCCCAGATTTGGAGCTGTGGCTCAGAGATTTTTGCCATGGGGAAGACACAGGTTGTAAAACAGGGAACTCCAATGCTGTTCCTTAAGAAAGTGACTTTATTTGAAACAGAGTATGAGAAAGTTCAAGGCTGAGGGCACTCGCACAAACAATGAAAGTTTTCGTCATAGGCAGTTAAGAGGAGGCTGGTAGTTTTATGACGGATACAAGCTAAACTATAGACCAGTCGGTTTATAGAGGGAACCAGGGAAGAGACAGCTAAGAGGAGCCCTTTAGGGGTCAGAGCAAATCTCAAACACTGAGCTCAAACACAACTCCAGTAAAGGGCTCTGAATTTAATGTGGAGCAATTTATGCTCCGGGGCATTATCAAAAGTAATAGAGGACTCAGACGGCAATTAGTAGAGCTTAACAACTGGGTGTGATCAGAGAAAGAGAAACACAGACAATAGTTAACAGCACTGTCATTCCAAAGTCACTGTGCACACGCATGAGCCTGTGTACATGAGGCTTTACACTGCAGGTGTGATAGATTTCACTAAAAAGGTCAAGTCACATCCTGGGGAAAAAAAAAGGCAAACAATAATTAAAAGCCACAGAGAGAGGGACAAGAATCTACAATTGTTGAAATATATTATCTAAAATGTCAGTTTGCACCAAAAAAAAATTGTGAGCTATGCAGATACCAGAAAATATGACCCACACACAGGAAAAAAAGCAGCCAACGGAAAATGTCATTAAAGTGTTACAGATGTAATACTTAACAAACATTAACTTCAATGCATCCGCTATAGATATGTTCAGAGAACTAAAGAAAACAACACTTAAAGAATTAAAGGGCCAGATGCAATGGCTCATGCCTGTAATTCCAGGACTTAGGGAGGCCAAAGTGGGAAGATCACTTGAAGCCATGAGTTCGAGTTCAGCCTGGGCTACAAATCTCTACTAATGTAATAAATTAAAAATATATATGTATATCCAGGTGTGGTGGCATGTTCCTGTAGTCCCAGCTACTTGGGAGGCTGAGATGGGAGGATCACTTGAGCCCAGGAGGTCGAGACTGCAGTGAGTTATGATGGCGCCACTGCACTCCAGCATGAGGAATGAAATAAGAGTATGTCTCAAAAAAAAAAGAAAAAAGAAAAGAAACTTATGAAAATGTCTCAAAAAAAGATGATATAAGCAAAAAAAATTAAATCAGACCCAAACTCACTGTCTAATTCTTCTAAACATTTACAAGTAAATAGCAACAAATGATTTTTACTACAGTGTCTTAGTTCTAAATAAGTTACAAACATAAAAGTTTCCTACTTGATATTTTATTTTTGTGTCTGCTTATTATTATTTGAGATCTTTTTTAGATTAACTTATTGACTATTCTAAATGCTAGATCTTCATATTTTTAAATTGTATCTTTCCCTCCACTGCATATCCAATCTCTTTGATAACAAAGATGCACTTGATGGCAGCATTATCTCCAATTTTGGGAGTAAATGATTTTTTTTTAATTAAATTGATTTGATATAAAAGTATATCACTTGAAACAGAAATATTCCTTACTGATATAGAATTTGTCTTCATAACTTGGAATATCACAAGAGAGATCTGTAATTCTTGGAGGCTATTTTGGGTTGAGGTCAGAGGAACCTTGAATATTTCCTTTACTTCTTGGGAACTTCCCCTTGTGACGGTGTTCGTTACCTGCTTATATATTTATTATTCTTTTTTTTCCCCCCCTGGGTAAAGTCTTCCCTTAATTTAAAATTTTCTTACGGCTCATCTGGTTCATTAAATTACCAGAGACTGGGGAGGGGAGGTGGCAAGAGAGGGGAAGATAGCAAGAGGACAAATAAAAAAATCCCAGTAATTTAGAAGTGTCTTTGTTTTTCATGAAAGACAGAACAATGCTTTCTTCTCTTTTCTTTATTGTATTTCACTGCCAGCAGGATTCCTTGGTTGAAGACAGGCAACAGAAATTTAAAATAAAGTTTAAGCAAGGTTTTATGTGGCAACACTCTCACTACTTCCTTGAATGTTCTACAGGAACCATTCCTGATTCTCCTAAGATACACCTAGCTTTCTAAATACCAGCTTTCTAATGAAAGGATGATTGGAAAGGTCTTTCAAGAGTGTGATGCTTAATTATAGGGAAAAATGTAGCCTACTTCAGTTCTTTCTTTGGAGGAATCAGGCAACTCTCAGTATTTTCCCCAAGGTATTTTTTAATTTTTAGATTTCATTGTTATTTGGCAGGTATATTTTCTAATTTCTTTGTCTAATAGAAATAAAATATACATATTTATATATTATAATATTTTAATATATATCATATCTATATAGATTTTGCTTTCAGATTTTTGGAGTCTTTGGGTGGATAAAATAAAATAAATTATCCTAGTAGGCTCATTTAAATTTTGAACTCTGAATTTATTTTCTTTTCCTACCTTAGGCAAGGAAAGTAACAAACTGTGAAATGGCCAATAGAAAAGTTGTTAGAGAGGAAAGCAGGTAGACCCTGGGTTATCAGTAAAATGCATAGTCATCAGGTATTTATTTGTTCAGAAGACACTGTAGACTACTACTGAATTTTTACCCTGTTATTGCGGTCAAAGAGCAGGATCTCTGGGGAATTTATGACATTTGATGTAAGTCCTAACTTTATATTCAGCCTTTCCAGCGTGTGAAAATAAAATATTTTAAATGGTCCCAACCAGTTCTCAGAATCCTTGTATGCATTGATGGAGAACAAGTAAGATAACTGCAAAGATAATTTCCACTAGGTAAAAGGAAAAAATGTGGAAAAATGCAGAATGACTGCCATTCTCAGGACCCATCAGATTAAGCAGAACATAAATAGCAAGCCTGCTTTTCCTAGTGATGGAATAATTAAAGACATTCATAAATCAGTTTATTTACCGTTGTCTAAATTTTTTTTAGTTTAGTGCTAAATTATTTTTTAGTTTATATTTTTTATTTGTTAATATAAATTTAAGAAAGAGCAGATAATAATTCAACAAAGGTACATATACCTAATTTTGGGACTACAAAAGATGGGAAGATTTTGTTATATTTGCTTGAGAAATATTAAGAAATCTAAAGATATTAAAACATTTTTGCACACCATCCCAGAGGCAATCAGAATCCTTCCTAGAGTAACGATTATTCTGATTCGTTCCCATCGATATTCAATACATTTGCTATTTGCTATATATCAATATGCTCCCAAATTATTCATGGTATTATTTTGTATTTTCAAATTTTATATGTAATGGAAATTGCCAATTTTACTAAGAATTAATTTTCAAGAGCTTCCTATGTTGATATATAGATCTAGTGTGTCCATTTTAACTATTGAATAGTTATAAATCCTTTGAAAATATGTTCCATTCTAATTGATAAAAATGTATATAACGTTCAGATTCTGGTTATTGCACACCTCATGTTTATGGACATTATTTACGGCCCTCATATATGGCATAGTTTCTTTACAGTATATCTCTCTTTTTTTTTTTTTTTTTTTTTTTTTTGAGATGAAGTCTCGCTCTGTTGCCCAGGCTGGAATGCAGTGGTGCAATCTCGGCTCACTGCAACCTCCGCCTCCTGGGTTCAAGCAGTTCTCTCGCGTCAGCCTCCTGAGTAGCTGGGAGTACAGGCACATGCCACCACACCCGATGAATTTTTGCATGTTTTTTTAGTAGAGATGGGGTTTCACCATGTTGGTCAGGCTGGTCTCAAACTCCTGACCTCAGGTGATCCGCCCACCTCAGCCTCCCAAAGTGCTGGGATTACAGGCATGAACCACCATGCCCAACCTTACAGTATATATCTTGAAAAAAGTTTCTAGGTTATTTGCTCTTGGATATTCTATTCTCTATATTGATTCTCTTCCAATATTCACTGAATTGGGCCATTTTTTTTTCCAAATAAAATTTGGGGTTTTCGTCTGAACTGCAAAGTGGACTCTGAGTTTTAATTCTTTGGAAACAATAAAGTTAATATTTTATTCAGAAACTCCCAACTGAAGTTTTGAGTTTAGATTGTGTATAAAGGTTGCTTCTCTCTTTCAAAATGACAGATTATCCAAGCAAGAGTGGGATATGTTGTTCTTACCGGCATAATTTCAAAAAGCACAATTTATGATAGAGAAAGAAAGAGAAAGAGAAAGAAAGAAGGAAAGAAAGAAAGAAAGAAAGAAAGAAAGAAAGAAAGAAAGAAAGAAAGAAAGAAAGAAAGAAAGGAGAAAGGAAAGGAAAGAAAAAAGGAGGAAAGAAAGAAAGAGGTAGTCAATCAAAGAAGGCAGTTATCTTACCACTTTTCAGTGGCCACAAACCTTGGAAGAAATGTGTTTCCTGTTAACTTTCCAGCTGAATTTATCTAAATCTTTTTTGACTGGGTAGATATTTGCTGTCCAGCTAATTTTCATTTTCTACAATAATAAATAATTTATATAATACATTAAAAGGTTATGGATATTTGAAACAATGACAATATTGGAGTAATTAAATGAATAGAATGCTGAGTTGGTAGATGTCTGTAGCATTTGTAGGGTGATCAGAGTCTTCAAAAATGATGAAGTTTGAGCAAATGTTTGAGGAATATGAGGAATTTTGCAAAGATTACATTTGCGCAATTTGCACTTCAGGAAGCAAGGTCAGCTAAGGTATGTGTTCAGTGTAAAGAAACAACAAAGTAAGTTGTGGCTGCATCTGGGGAGGTTGTAGCAGCAAATATCAGAGAAATATCAGTGCTTGTGTGTTGATGTGAAGGGGATAGATTATGTACTCTTCCAGTCCATTGTTCTCCAGATGAAATGCAGAGTCCTTGCAGAGTTTCCTGCAGAGAGGGGACAAAAATTTGATTTAGGTTTTAAAAGCTTACCTGTGGCTGCTCCATTGAGACTAAACTTAGTAGAACAAGAAGCAGGAAGACTGGAAAAGAGATAACAGCAGTAAACTCTAAATCCAATAACTAAGATAAATAACTTTGATAAGAACTAAGTTCAATCTACTTAAATTTTTAAATTAGAATAAACTATAACTGTATTCTTTTCTGCTTCTACGGATTTGTAAATATTTAAATAATTTTGGCTGTTTTTGTTTTTCTTCTACCTATGATTAGATTGATATGTAATTAAGACATGTGAATAGCTGGTTCTAAGACAAGTTATTAAAAAAGGAGTGGCTCTTAGTTTTTAAGAGAAAGTACAGTGAAAATTTCCTTAAATGTGTACATCTATTTTATAAAATCCAACTTGAAAAGTAATAAAAAATATGTAGGCTTATTTTTTCCTAAGGAACCAATAGAGTATACTAGGGAAGGATTTAAGTTTATAGTATACCAACTCTTCCTTTTTAAAATTTACTGTTCAAATATGTACTGAGGATAACATAGACGACTCATCAAAAAGAGAGTCTCTCAAAGACCTAAGGAAACAAATGCATTACACAAATAAATTGACTTTATTGTTAAGTATATTGTTATATAAATATTGATATTATAAAATTTCAAAATCTATTATTCATTATAGTAAATTAGCATGGATGGTTATGAGAATGATCTTGAGAAAGTGAATAACCTTTTATAGAAATGTTAATATTCCCATTTATTAAGTGAAGGGCTTATATGATTTTATTATAAGAGCTAGCTTATCTCTAAGGTGTGACTTTTTGAAGCTCCACACTTGCTGATTTAAATTCAATCTGAGGATGAACAGCGTATACCATATGTGATTACCAATCTGTAGTGATATAATGGCTTCACTTCAAATCTCTTGACTCTCCATTTAACCCCAGTGCCCCATGATTACTAGCTGCAGCTACATTAACGCTCTTGAGATAGGCTTTTTTCATTAGAATAGTGACATATTAAAATTTATACATTAGATCCTTATCACATAAAATACCCAATCCAAAGAAGTAACAGAATAAGATGGTTGCTTTTATTCCTGGTGCTGAGTTGAAATGATATGCATTCTAATAAAATGGGAAAGAATGACAAGTGATCTGTCAAAGAATAGAATTCATTTTACAGGGTTTGCAAACGAAGCAGAAGAATGTGAGAATGTACCTCATCAGCAAGTTAGCGACCACTTTGCTATTATCACCTCCATTTATGTTTCAGTGGAAATTTAAAAATTATAAACAGCATTAAATTCAACTGACCAGAAGCAAAATATCCAAATGTATATTCTGTAGAACATATTCTATTTCAGTGTTTTATTTGTATTCGGACAGATTAAAGTGGAAATGACGTGAGACAAAAAATTCATTACTTATTTCAGCTTCAGGGACTTAGCTGTTAATCCTAATTCTCACCTGCAGTGCCCCCATGCCCTTTTCTTTTCCCTATTGACGCTCCACAGTTCTTTGTCATAGTATGAGGAATGGACAGAGCCAATCCAGCAGGCTTTTTGGAGGCTGTTTAGTTTTTGCCAAGGAGTTGGATTCTAATACACAGAATGAGAATAGCTTCATGTATACATAAAAGCTCCTCTGCTGTGTTCTTTCCATCAGTTCTAAAATCAAAACAAAACAAATCCCCTAATATCAAGTGTATCAATTAAATCTTAGATAAACCTATATCATATCCATGAGAAACAAGGATATGTTGAGCCAGGAAATGAACTATGATTAAATTAATTTTGAGACATTATTTTCTGTTTTAAAAGTATTATACAAGAATCCAATAAATATAAAGCAGGTTAAACTGAAATTGAACAGTTTTGTTAATTTATACACAGTTCACTTAAAACAATTAAATAGTGTCACTAATTTTTAAGAACTCTAAATTAATAACCTCTCGTCTCCTGACATTGATATAAAATCCCAACTAAGAGGTTATTAAGGAATGGCTAACAGACAAAACTACATTAACTGTCTCAACAGTTCAGGTTTCATAATATTCTGTTTATCTTTTATTTGTATTATAAGGCAAACATTTTTAAACTTTAGTAAATGTGCATGTATACCTACTGTCTACATATTGACAATTGTTGACATTCATCTTCTTTATATATTTATAGACATATATGCATATAAAATAGAAACACATACAAAATTAGAGCCCCCATGTCGGCTTTTCCTGTTTCACTTCATTACTCTGTCTCCAGGGGCAAACAACAGGGTTCTAACTGTTTCTCTAAATGCGCATTTATATATGTATGAAAAATAACCATCATCCCTTGTATTTGTGGAGGATCCCCACAGACATCAAAATCCACAGATGCTCGAGCCCCTTGCATAAAATGGCACAGTATTTATATATAACTTATGCATATCTCCCCATATACTTTAATCATCTCTAGATTACTTTTACTATTGTAACTAATACAATCTAAATACCATGTAAATAGTTGGTATATTGTGTTGTTTAGCAAATGATGTCTAGAAAAAAAATCTATATGGGTTTAGTAAAGAGCTAATTTAAAAGAAAAAAATTACCATGCATGGTTGGTTGAATTCACAATGTGGATTCACTGACCTGGAGGGCTAATTGTATTGTATTTATCGATGTGTGTTTACATGTCCATTAGTGTTATTCTCCATGTGATTTTCTCTGTAGCATCCAGCAATATGTGCTTCAGTTATACTCATCATACTGTAGGCATAAATATATACATAGATAAATGGTAGGTGCATTCATAGATCGGTAGATAGATAGATAGATGCTGGATGACAGATAGAGACATAGAAGATGGATAAAGATACAGGAATAGAGATAGATGGAGACATAAATGAACATGTACACAACTGTGGGTTCTTTCAATAGGTCCACAATATTATGATGTATATTTATAATAGGCATTGAATTTATTATTACTCTCTTTATGTACAGTTAATTTAAATTAATTATATAACATAGAAATACCTGCTGGTGAACATATACCATGGTAATCTTTGGATCATATTGAGGCACTATAGGCAATAATGGAAAACATGCGTTTCTGATGTCAGTTAGAATTATTCAAGTACTAGCTTATAAACTTCGATGCAATAATCTTAAGCAGATTTAAAAAACAAAAAATACTAATTGTTGGATATTTCAGGAATGCAAATTTTATCTCCAGTAAGAAATCTTTCCATCTACTTTAGTATAAAGGAGAAAATATTATAATTTTCATACATTCAAAAAAATGAATAAAATTCAATAATGGTTCATGATAATAATCCTTAAAATCTTAGAATAAGATAAAAACTCTATAGCTTGAGTAATTATATTTACAATAATTATAGAAGTTAATGTGTATGGAAAAATAATGTATGAAGGTGAGTTGTTGAATTTGTGTTCTTTAAAATTGGGAACATGTCAAAGCAGCCTGCCTTTTTCACTCCTACAACATTCTAATGAAAATACATGACAGTGCAAAATTTAAAAATGAATTAAAAATAACTTCTGCAAAGAAAGTAATAAAATGTTCATTATTTGAAGAGTATTAAATTATGACTGTCTTCATGGCAAACATGATTTTAAAATTAACAACAAAATATTTAAAATTAATAAAAATTATATTGGTCAAATAAAAATAAGGCAAATCTACAAAAGTCAATTGCACCACCAACAGATAGAAGACACACAGTATTTAGGAATACAGCTAACAAGAGCTGTTCAGATTTTATGTCATAAAATTATAAAACTTGAATGAAAAAAGTGAAAGAAGACATTCTTTCTATCCAAGAACAGGGAATGTCCTGTTCTTGGATAGAAAACTAAAATCATGTTTAATAATGCTCTAATGACATACAATTTGCTTCTGAGGACAAAGGAGGAGAGAATATTCAACTTCTTCACAAAATCTCGGGTCTTATAGTCTAATTTTAACTGTCAGGAAAATATAATGATGAGCTTCTTCCAAGTGGAAATAAAGAGCAAAAGATTAAAAGTGATGAATAGCTAGAATCCATATTAATGAAGATGTTAGACAAACTTTCGATCTGAGAGCCTAGTCAGCCTTGATTAACTGTGAAGACTCTATTTTGTTTTTAATAAATGTAATAAACTTATAGATACAAATATAAACATAAATATTATTGGGTCTTTAGCAAAAATATTTTATAACAAGCCACTTCTTGAGTTTTTAGTTGAAAAACAATAAAATATTACTGATGTAATATAAAAATACTCAACAGACTCAATTACCTTTATTTTTTTGTCTAAAACATACACTATCACAAAGTATTTCTAAACATTCATATATATATATATTTTAAGCTAAGAATGCAGTACTTAAACATCACAAATTTAACATGGTTAAACCTAGTCTGGTTATTATTTTTAGTTATTCAATTATTTTCACATAGTCTTTTCTTCTTTGGTGTCATATTAGTGGTAAAGCCTGCCTATCACAGTGGTGAGACTTTGGCAATTATTCATCACATACTGAATGCATATTTGTTCATTGATTAATAATGATATTAGATTGGACACTCAAAACATTGAAGTCATGTTGGAATTCATTATTTGATTTCATTTTCTGAGCAAACCAAATATAACATTTATATTTGTTTGTTGTTTAGTTTCACATCTATGACAAGTCACTTATATGTATTTCTTTCTATATACATACAAGAATATATATACAATTATAAATTACTTCTGACATTGCCGACAACTTACTCTCCCTCTGGATATTCATATCCAGATGTCTGTACAAACAGGCATTTAAAACAAGCCAACAAAAAGTAGTTAAAAATATGTAAACAAAGTTAGCATACATTTTAAATTTCAGACCTAAAGAGTGATTGCTTGAAACGTGAGTAGACTTCTTAAAAGTCAATTTCAAGTTTATAACTTGGGCAGAATTGACTAACGAGATGGCACCATGGGATCACTCATGAATTTTAGGATAATCAAAAGGAGGCCCAAGAAGTTAGTCCATCACCAGTCAGTCACTATGTCAAAACTAAGTACTAAGCACTAATAACAGATACAGAGATAGTTAAAAGGCCAGATATTAATGACCAACATTAACTATGGAAACAACAAGAAAACAAAGCAAATGTTGCCCAGTGGCTTTTGGAATTACATGGTACACAATATGAAGGAACTGAAAATGCTGGCCATGGGCAACTAATATGCTACCATTGCTGACATTTCTTCTGGTAACCACAAAGGCATGAGGGGAAGAATTACACCACTAACCATCAGAAGCTCTAACACGGAAGCCAGACAACAAACAAGAGAAAATCAATATTTGGTTTGATTGGCAGACTTTATGTCTGTTAAAGGAAACAGTACTTCTGCTGTCTATGATTTTTTCTTCCTTTTAGTCTTCAGTCTTTTGGCTCTCTTTGAAAACTCCTATAGACTTGTAACTATTCAATAAGATCTTTGGTTTGTAAAGGATCTGAACAGGTCGTTTGCTCCAGTCTCCTAGGTAATAGTGTCCATCTTTCCTCAAATGTTTAGACATTACGATCAGGTCTGGGGGATGAACGAAGGGAAAAACTTAAGATTTGTGTGCAAGCTTTACAAATTTAATAGTCTTGCAAGTCTTCACAAGTAGCTACCTCTAGCTTCAATTTCTTCACTTGTAAAAAGGATATTCACTACACTTTGTTGTTCTTATGGAAGTTAGGTGAAAAAAATGACTAATTCCTCCTTAATAGCTAAGCTAATGTCTCTTAGTATTTGCTTTTATTATCCATTTGATGTTTGTTTCTGATGTAAATATAGAATGAGAATATATACAGATAAATCCCTCTTCAGTTCATTTAAATGATGTCAAATATTCTCTACAGGTAACCTACAAGATATTTTCCCCATCCCAATTTCCTAAGCCAAATTTCCATCCTGTAGGACCATTAACTGTTTGTAGATTGTTTAGATGGTTCATGGACATAGAACCAAGTATAATTTTGATTAATTGTATAGTTACTTTTTGTATATGACACGATACCCATTTTCCAGCTATTTAGAATAGTGAAGCTTTCTTGGCAAATGCACTTAATGTACTTCACTTATGTGTGAATGTGGCAAAAATTATTAATATTGTACCCTTGTAAAAAATTTTGGAAGCATTATACAGTATTTTCTGTCCACTCTCATAGCCTACTCCTATCAAAAATAATTTTCTTGTTGTAATACATAGAGGTTTTGTTAAGATTGCACAACATCTGTGTAATAATCTACCATGTTATAAAATATTTCAAAATCTTAGAGAATCACACTTAGGATCTATTTTTTTTGTCCCCAAAGGGGCCGCAAGCAGAAAGAAAATAGGTCCAGATTTCATTAGAAGTCTATGGTTTTAGCAACTGGAGAGAAAAAATAGCTCTCAGAAATGCGAAGAAAAAAAGTTTAGCACAGTGTCAGCCAAAAGAAGAAAAGGTTAAAGGCAGAGGACATGGTTCTTTTTAACACCTTTTTTTTTTGACTCAACCACTGCAGAAAAATATTCTTTCTGTGCCCACACACCATCAAAAGTTGTCACTGCATTTCTGAATTGAAAGTCTGACAGGCAGTCTTCCCAGCAATAAAGCAAAGTCCTAAGAATTTATATTTATATATTTAATTTTATAATCAATGTGGTAACACACAGCTGTCATAAGTGATTTGATACATTATTTTTTGACATGGTACTTAATATTGCAACTAGAGCTCAAAAGGAAGAGCACTGGATAGGAGCAGAACATTATGTATTCACCATTCACTATAGGTTTTTCATCTGGATTCCTCATACTCTTTTTCCATCTTCCAAAGATTTTTTATATATATATATATGAAATATACATAATATATGTATAAATATTTAAACATTTATATATAACTGTATACATAAATATACATCGAAATATTAATATTTATTTTTATAAATATAAATTTTTACAAATATAAATATATTTTTATAAATATATATTAAATATTTCAATATATTTATTAAAATATATTTGTATATTATATATATTTTATATATTTTTTCAATATATATTTATAGAAATATATACTGAATATATATTTACAGAAATATATATTTATAGAAATATATATTCAATATGTTTATAGAAAATATATATTCAATATGTTTATAGAAAATATATATTTAAATATTTCAATAAATATTTATAAATAAATATATGTATATAGTCTTGTCTGAGTATATTAATTCCTAGTGTTAAACAGCTTCTTTTTAACTTTTTTAGGTGTTACAGTTTTTTTCTCTATTTTTATTGTAGAAGAAATTCTCATACATGGTTGATTTTTTTTCTAACTTGTATGTGACTTTTTTTTTTGACTGATCAGGTATCTATTGTTTTCATTAACTTTTAATTTCCGTCTATTACAAGTAGATGCTGGGGAGGAAAAGCAGCTCTAACCAAACTTTTCTGAGAGGAGAGTATCCTTCTTCTCCTATAATTCGGTTTATATTTTTTCTTTTCCAATTTAGGGCAATATTTAGTCTTTTGATCAATCATATTTTTCCATAATTATGTACATATTTATAAACATTCACATTTTATTTTTTATCAGGATGAATTACATTTATATCAAGCTATATCTCTGTCTGAAAGTTGTTTTTCCACTATAGCTATTTATTCCTTAAAGTTTCTAAGATGAAAGAGTCCTAAAATTATGGTTTTGGTTGCTTAACATGCCTTCTGAGGTATGAAATCTACCATTATATCATTTTATCTGTTAGTTTCTTTCTTCTCGTGTTTCATGTAGCTATTGTTCTTATTAACTTGACCCATGTATTTTGGTGTGGCTTTGGGGAATTTCCTCCTGTTTTCAGGTTATTTATTCTTCTAGATTGGGTTTTTGTCTGCAGTTTGCTTATTACATTTCTTACACTTATGTTTTAGTGTAATCACTACTACCCATTTTTAAATTTAATTTTACTCATGCTCCAACTGTGCTGTGGAGTTCGAACGTTTCCTTTGATATTTTGCTGGTAATTTCTTGACATATCAGAGACCTGTTTATTTCACTAATAAGGTAACATTCTCCTGACATAATACCTATATTTTGTTAGTTTCACATGACATAGCAGTAGATGGATCAGAAATTCCACTGAGACATCTTTCTTATGAACATAAGACTCTAATTCATTTCTGTGTTTTTTTCCCCAATAATTTGGAATTTCTGTAAATCTCCTGTGGAGATATGATCCAGCTTTGAAACTGTCTTACAATTGCTCCTGTATCCCTGGAAACACAAATTCCATCAAAAAGGCTGGCTTGTTAACATGCCTTTCCCACTTGGAAAGACAAAATTGTGTGCAGATTCACGCTGTGAACTTTTATACGGGAAGCAACACAGGAACTCAACAGAAAAACTGAAAGAAACCACTGGCACTTTGAAGGTAGCAGCAGGCAGCAGCTTACACCAAAAGCCAGGCAGAAAATTGTAAGTCTCCAGAGTGTGAAAGGGGGAGACTCTCTCCATGATATACCCTCCCACTGGGAAGCCGGGCAATCCAGGCCATGGAAAAGTGCCTTAACCCTACCTTGAGCTGATTTAGTGAACTGTGGGAAGTATATGAGAAAGGGTGTGGTTAGGATGTGCTTTGCATATACTCCCAGACCTTATCAGAAACGGAGGGAAGCCATTCCTGATCCTCCCTCCTATAAGGGACCTTGTGGGAAGTCTGCCAGCTAACTCAGGCAGCAGTCATAGGTTGAGAGAAGCTCCCAACTAAGATTTGTGATATAATCTTGCATGAGAATGAACCTTCTTGTCCAGAACTGACAGTCAAGTGGGAAGTGTGCTCTAGCCATAGGTGCAGGGGTTGGGCACCCTTAATTCATGGGTAAACTGGGAGAGGAGGGGCCTGAATGCTGCAGTTTTTGTCTCCCTATGAAGGCTTGTGTGGCCTGGGGTGGTTTTGCCTTCTGAGTGCAGGCAGCCTGGAACTCAGCTAGCTGTTGCTACAGAACATTACAGGTGTGAGACTTGCCTTGTCAAGTGCATGGGAGTTGGGTGGAGCTTATTGCCACCTGCTCCTCCTCTCCCTGAATGGAGTCTTTTGTGTAGCAGAGAGTTGTGTTCCTCCCTGGAATTTACCCCAGCGGCCATGGATAACTGCCCTCTGATCCCCACTGGGGCTGCTGCTTGTGCAGTACGGGGAGCCACAGCATGAACTTGACTGACTGACCCCCAACCTGGCTTTGCCCAACCACCCACTCTGGTGGCTTCTCACAACAAACAGGGACTTTAGAGAG
The DNA here is from genome assembly GCF_000001405.40 of Homo sapiens. Classification (NCBI taxonomy): domain Eukaryota; kingdom Metazoa; phylum Chordata; class Mammalia; order Primates; family Hominidae; genus Homo; species Homo sapiens. The sequence continues at coordinate 19,045,357 of NC_000005.10, forward strand.
CTCCATGGCCCCACTCATTGCCTGAGACACCGAAGTGCTTCCCCTGTGTAACATAAGGCAAGCACGAATCCCACTGCTACTGCTGTGGCTACTGCTCTTTTCCAAGTGCCACCTCATGGCCGGGGGCCAAATGGCACAGCCCACACAGCACCTGCAGGCACAATAACAGTGCTCAGGAAGAAGAAAACTTGTGCAACCTCAGCTATTATCATTGGCTACATCGCCCCAGCTACCCAAGAGGTCTTGAGCCTGTCCACAAGCCCAGTACCTTACAATTACAGCTGGCATTTGAGAAAGCCAGCAAACCAAGGCTCTTTATAACCTTAAAATCGTACAGAGTCTATGTCACTCCCCCTGACACTTCCATCAGAACATGTGCTGGTACCCACTGCTGGGAGATGAGAGGGCAAGTCAGCTTGGTCCAGCTTCACCCAATAACCATCTGGAGCTAAGAACAGAGCCCAAGCCACTGCACACCCTGCAGACCTGTCTATAGCCTGAAACATCAGAGAGCTCCAGTTGGCTAACAAGTGACCAATTCTCCTCAGAATGATCTATTACACCATTTTCACACTGCTGTAAAGAACTATGTAAGACTGGGTAATTTATGAAGGAAAGAGATGTGTGGAATTTTTTTTACAAATTGTTTCTGAAAATTTATGTTGGTTTATAAGGTAATAACATAAAATAAGATGCTCTAAAACTGTGATGTGTGGAGAACACTCCAAATCCACTTCTCTAGTTATTTTGGAATATATAATTAAATTAATGTTGACTAAAGTTGACCTATTATACTACCAAGCAATAGACCTTATAACTTCCAACTGTGTATTTGTACCCACTAACCAACCCCTTTCTTACCTACGTTTTCCAGACTCTAGTATCTATCATTCTACTCTCTACCTCCATGAGATCAATTTTTTTAGCATCCACATGAGTGAGAAGATGTGATATTTGTCTTTTTGTGCCTGGCTTACTTCACTTAACATAGTGTCCTCCACTTCCATCCATGTTGTTGCAAATGACAGAAGTACCTTATTTTTAATGGCTGAATAATATTCTGTCATAGATATATACATATTTTTATTTTTTATGTTCATTTTTATTAATATTAATAAAAATTTGCTTTAGAATTTACAAATATTGTTCTTAACCTCTGGAAAAATTCATGCTTTTTTTAAAGTTTCAAGATAGCATGGAGAAATAAAGATATCAGATAATAAATCCAAATAGTATACAATATTAATAACAGGAAATAAAACTTTGAAATATCACTGAATTTATGTTGTTTATGGTCTGAGTAAAGGCATCTACAGAACTTATTTGTGGGCATATAGTAGTTTCTATTAATAAGATTATAACCAAGAATAAAATTCTCCAAAAAAACGGGGGAGAGACAAGTACTTTATTTGTACTGAGTTATTTGGGTTATATTTCAATGACATTTATAAAATACATACATGGAAAAAGTCACTTTTTAATGGCATCAGCATTCTGTATGTTGGATTAATATTTTATCATTACAAAGGAGAACCCATGAGTAAATCCTTCCAATCTGAAAGTTTCTACCTAGAGCTAAATTTGATCAAGGAACCTATCTAATAGAGATAACTTTGCATTCAATCAATTTATTCTATTAGTCAAATCTGTACATACACACTCATACATGGATGTACACCCAAACATATACACACACTTTTTAGAAATACTTGAAACAGGCCCAGAAGGCAATAATGATAGTGATATAGCTTCGATGAGTGGAGGAACACCAGGGTTCTTTGTCTCCAGTCAAATTGCATAAAACAACATGGACACATGTGGAGTGGTCTTAAGGAGCAGAGAGTTTAATAGGCAAGGAAGAAGGAAGAAGCTCCCCAAAACAGAGACATAGGGAGAGGGACTCTGAAGCCAAGAGAGGAAAACCCCGAGTGCCGCGGAAACCAGCCAGTTATACTAGGAGGCTGGAGGAGGTGGTGTCTGGTTTGCACAGGGCTCAGGGGATTAGTTTGACCAGGCATGTTATTCCCGGGGAGCCCGTGAAAAACTGGCCCTCCCACACTAGCCTTTTAATATGCAAATGCAGGACGCCATGATGTTCTACACAAGTGGAGATATGTGGGGGCGGCCATGTTGCCAGGAATCTGTGAGGGCAAGGGCAAGAAGAGGGCGGGAATCGCCATGTTTGGGTGGACCCAGTTTTTAATGGCCTGCATTTGCATATCAAAGGTTGCCTGCCTGGCTCTAAGAGCTGGGGGTTTCCTGCTAGACAAGAAACATTTCTGGAGCTGCTTTAAAAGAGACAAAAATCTTTCCAAGGACCCCTTTTCCTCTCTGCCTAAAATAATTTCTTAATAACTCCTAAAACAATAGGACAAATATGACTCAATTCTTGAAAAACATGGTGGCATCATTCTAATAAGCCTCAAGCCAGTCCCTAGCTCCTTTCCTTTGCTCAGACTATCACCCAGCATGTCTATAATGCCCAGTTGCTCCTTTTCCCTTTTCCCGTGGTCAACCTTTAGGATCTGCTTAAAGTCACTTCCATATTATGTCTGTTACTCTGAAACAACACATCCATCCTAACTAGTACGTATTAATTATACAAATAATTTTTACAATTGCTAGCATAAAATCTTCATCATATGTCAGAATATTGGAGAAAAATAAGAAAAATTACCCCTTGAAATAAAACAGAAAAAGACTTATGCTAGTTTTTTTTTAATCTTAGGAGAATTATCACTCTTTATTAAAATTAAATATTTTTTATATTTAAATTAAATTAATTATATGTTCTATTAACATGTCCTCTCATATTTGCAAACTGATAAGCTCATTGAACCATGTCTGTATTGAACATATATATACTAAATAAATAATTTCCTAATAATGTATTTATGTCATAAATTGAAATTGTTTATAGTAATGTAAGGTAAACAACAACAACATATAAGTAAACAGAAATGCTTTCTGCTGTGAATTTATAACAAGTTTATTTATCATTGTACTTCATGCTAGCAGATCAATATATATACTTGTTTCCATAAAATGTACCCACTTGCATAACATGCATTTAGGAAAATGAGAATTTATTATTAATAATTATGAATAGTTTTTAAGTTGCACATAAATATAATACAAATAAAAATATACACATTCAGTAAAACTGGCTCATAATTGCATGATTAATACTAAGTCAATTCAGGGTAAAATGGGTTTCAATCACTGCCTCATAGCATCGTCTTTCCCAGCTTGGGTATTCTGGCTGCTCATGTCTCCCTTAATGTACTCAGTATGTTCTTTGCCTTTAAATGGGACATGGGAACAAATGGCTCATTTGTCTGTCCCTAGTGTAATACTTAAAGGCAATTTTTAAAAAAAAGAATCTTCAAAATTTCCCAGTGTTGAAGTGTTCTGTAAGAAATCTGACAAATGTAGCTGTGAGGTAAGATGCTCTGGATAGGAATTAAGATCAAAGTCACCTACAAAGATGTAAGGTTCAGAGTATGTGAAGAGCTAAGGATTTCTTGACATTCTGCTGCATTTTTATCTGTTTAACGATCTTGACATAGTCATAAATCTATCATTACCATCCCTTGACCTGTCCTAAAAATGAAATATTGCTTTTTATGATGTAAAACGTCAATGTCACTTTTGAATGCCTAAACGGAGCAGAAAAGGAGTCATATGGAACAACCTCTACACAAATTGAAATTCTAGGGTAAATTTTGAAGTATTTCTTTTTTATCTGTTTCATTTTATGTGTCATTTGTGTGTATATAGTAACCTGCAACAAATTATACCAATATGTCACATGTTGAGATAATATAGCAGATGGATAAAAACAATACTGATAAATGTCTATCCTAAACAATTAACATTTACATGATCCTTAAGCTTGACATTTTCAAGTATATTAATATATCTGATCTTAAATTTATAATACTAATGTCAGAAATATCTGTTTTTATTTATCAAAACCCCTATTGCTGGCTACAATAGACTATCTTCTAGCTAATAGGTTTCTCCACAGAAGTTTTATATTCACTGATTATTTCTTTTAAAAAAGCTATTATGCTGTCATAACATTTTTTCATAGTATTGCTTCTACACTGACAGAGAGGTCAAAAGCAACCTACAATGAAATGCTTTATGTATGAAAATTGTGCTTAAGGACAAACAACACGGATAATTTGACAGGTTTTTATGCAAATATATTTATAGTACAGTATTAATCCAATAACATAATGAAGAATTATTTGTCTTAGGCATTAAAGTGACTATTTTATCAATAAATTCAATTGTGCATTTTATTTATGAATGTGCAAAATTTGGCCTGCTTTTGTACAGCAAGGTCACCAATTATCATTTTTGATGTGTGTGTGTGTGCGTGTGTGTGAATGTGCACATATACTTGTATGAGTGTGTGTATTGTCTTTTCCTATGCATTTCTAAAGATCTAGTGGTTCAAGAATAAGAAAATTAATACCATATAATCAGTAATACATAACAATATTAACTATCAACTTTTATAGTCATATGAATGAACATAACTATATCTGTATATATAATGATCAAGAATGATATCATGCTTTAGATGGCTGTAACACTTATTTTGCTGTTGACACTCATCTGAGCCATAAATGGGTTCATTTCAGCAAGTCCTTTCCCTCATTCTTCTTCACACAATCCATATTGCCAAACTAATGCCATCTGATATCATGTGATAATATAGCAATGTTAGTGAGAAATAAGATATCCATCTTTGCAGCAACTAAAAATGCAGTAAAAAAATTACCCTTAGAATAATATAATAGAAAATATTGTAAATTTTAAGTAAATTTTAACTTTTATAAAATTATTTTTTCTACTATCAAGATAATTATCAATGTAATTCTTTTCATTTTGATAGTTAAAACTGAATTTCTCTGAAATCAAAAGCAGTTTGTCTGTCACATCTAAAACTATGAGAATGGTGCCTGACACTGTTTTAACAAGCCCTCTGGGGATTCAGATTAACGGCAAAGGTAGAAAACCGCTTCTTTATAATATTATCTTTTCTATTGGAAATTGACAAAACATAGTTGTATATATTTATGGGGAATAAAGTGAGTTTATGATTTCTGAATACATTGTGGAATAATCAAATCAAGCTAATTAACATATCAATTACCACAATTAGTTATCTTCTTTTGTGTTGAGAATATATGAAACTTACTCTTAGAAATATACAACAGACTATTATTAACTATATTCACCACACTATGCAAAGAATTCAAAAAAATACTATTTTTGTCTGACTGAGGCTGTGTACCCTTTGACCATTATCTCCCCATTCCTCCCAACTTTCTAGCCTCTAGGAACCACCATTCTACTCTGTTGCTATGTAAGTCAGAACATGTGGCATTTGTTTATTTTTGTGCCTGGCTTATAAAGAAGACATATAAATGGCCGACGGATATATGAAAAAATTATCAATATCTCTAATCATTAGGAAAATGCAAATTAAAACCACAATGAGCTATCATCTCATACCTATCAGAATGCTATTGTCAAAAAGATGAAAGATAGCAAATGTTGGCCAGGATGTAGAGAAAAGGGAACGCTTGTACACAGTTGATGGGAATGTAAATTAGCATAGCTATTATTGAAAACAGTGTACAGATTCCTCAAAAAACTAAAAATAGGATTACCGTATGATCCACAAAATTTACTAAAAAAAGATTTTAAATCAGCATTGTGAAGAGATACCCGAAATTCCGTGGTCATTGGAGCACTATTCACAATAGCCAAGTAATGGAATCAACTTGTGTCCAACAACAGATGAATAGATACAGAAAATGTGGCATTTGTACACAATGGTGGAGTACTATTCAACCTTTAAAAATTGCATCATTTCGACATGATTGTATATCTAGAAAACCCCATTGTCTCAGCCCAAAATCTCCTTAAGCTGATAAGCAACTTCAGCAAAGTCTCAGGATACAAAATCAATGTACAAAAATCACAAGCATTCTTATACACCAATAACAGACAAACAGAAAGCCAAATCATGAGTGAACTCCCATTCACAATTGCTTCAAAGAGAATAAAATACCTAGGAATCCAACTTACAAGGGATGTGAAGCACCTCTTCAAGGAGAACTACAAACCACTGCTCAATGAAATAAAAGAGGATACAAACAAATGGAAGAACATTCCATGCTCATGGGTAGGAAGAATCAATATCATGAAAATGGCCATACTGCCCAAGGTAATTTATAGATTCAATGCCATCCCCATCAAGCTACCAATGACTTTCTTCACAGAATTGGAAAAAACTACTTTAAAGTTCATATGGAACCAAAAAAGAGCCCACATTGCCAAGTCAATCCTAAGCCAAAAGAACAAAGCTGGAGGCATCACACTACCTGACTTCAAACTATACTACAAGGCTACAGTAACCAAAACAGCATGGTACTGGTACCAAAACAGAGATATAGATCAATGGAACAGAAGAGAGCCCTCAGAAATAATGCCGCATATCTACGACCATCTGATCTTTGACAAACCTGAGAAAAACAAGCAATGGGGAAAGGATTCCCTATTTAATAAATGGTGCTGGGAAAACTGGCTAGCCATATGTAGAAAGCTGAAACTGGATCCCTTCCTTACACCTTATACAAAAATCAATTCAAGATGGATTAAAGACTTAAATGTTAGACCTAAAACCATAAAAACCCTAGAAGAAAACCTAGGCATTACCATTCAGGACATAGGCACGGGCAAGGACTTCATGTCTAAAACACCAAAAGCAATGGCAACAAAAGCCAAAATTGACAAATGGGATATAATTAAACTAAAGAGCTTCTGCACAGCAAAGGAAACTACCATCAGAGTGAACAGGCAACCCACAAAATGGGAGAAAATTTTTGCAACCTACTCATCTGACAAAGGGCTAATATCCAGAATCTACAATGAACTCAAACAAATTTACAAGAAAAAAACAAGCAACCCCATCAAAAAGTGGGCGAAGGACATGAACAGACACTTCTCAAAAGAAGACATTTATGCAGCCAAAAAACACATGAAAAAATGCTCACCATCACTGGCCATCAGAGAAATGCAAATCAAAACCACAATGAGATATCATCTCACACCAGTTAGAATGGCAATCATTAAAAAGTCAGGAAACAACAGGTGCTGGAGAGGATGTGGAGAAATAGGAACACTTTTACACTGTTGGTGGGACTGTAAACTAGTTCAACCACTGTGGAAGTCAGTGTGGCGATTCCTCAGGGATCTAGAACTAGAAATACCATTTGACTCAGCCGTCCCATTACTGGGTATATACCCAAAGGACTATAAATCATGCTGCTATAAAGACACATGCACATGTATGTTTATTGCGGCACTATTCACAATACCAAAGACTTGGAACCAACCCAAAAGTCCAACAATGATAGACTGGATTAAGAAAGTGTGGCACATATACACCATGGAATACTATGCAGCCATAAAAAATGGTGAGTTCATGTCCTTTGTAGGGACATGGATGAAATTGGAAATCATCATTCTCAGTAAACTATTGCAAAAACAAAAAACCAAACACCGCGTATTCTCACTCATATGTGGGAATTGAACAATGAGAACACATGGACACAGGAAGGGGAACATCACACTCTGGGGACTGTTGTGGGGTGGGGGGAGGGGGGAGGGATAGCATTAGGAGATATACCTAATGCTAGATGACGAGTTAGTGGGTGCAGCGCACCAGCATGTCACATGTATACATATGTAACTAACTGCACATTGTGCCCACGTACCCTAAAACTTAAAGTATAATAATAAAAAGAAAAAAAATTGAGTCATTTGCACAACATGGAAAGAATATGACATTTTCTTGATTTAGGCTCTCTACAAAGGAGCTATCAAAGTGTGGGCCATGAACTGTCAGGATCAGCATCAACCCGAGCTTGTTAAAATTACATTTTCTCAGACCACCCTTCAGACCTACTGAATCTGAATCTCTGGGAGTGTGGCTTAGGGATCTCTAAAAATTTCCCCAGCTGATCCTTGTTCTCTTAAGGCAGACCCTGGGATATGGGTCAAGGTGCAAGTGACTTTTTGTGGACGTTTTGCTAGGAAAAATCAAGAAGGGAATGGAAAGACAGAATAGGGAAGTGGAACACTCAAGGCAAGAGCACAGTTTCAGGTAAAATCTTAGCCTCAGCCTTATCCTAGGAAGACTTCTGGAGTTCGAAATATGCTTTACTGTTAGGCTGTCTAGGCTTTCTTACAAGGTAACACTCTGCACTCCTGCCTGGGCGCTCTCTGCTCTCTATGAGTTCTTGGTGAAACAGCTACAGAATCCCAGGAGCAGCCTTCTGAAGAAGGATGTGGGATGAAGCTGCTGGAAATAACATGCTCAGAGCTTCAGGTATGAGTGTGCAGGTCTGAGTGTACCAAGGGGTACCATGGTGGAGAAAAAGGTGCACTAAGCTTGGAACGGTAGAAATCCTCAGTGTGCTTATTGTTTGCCTTTTAATATTGAATAAAGTGTGCATTTGTTTGTCTGAGTCTGAGCTCCAGTTTTATACCTCTAACATTGGAATAAAAATATACAATAGTTTTAAAATCGTAAATAAGATGTTATATAGGAAAGCACTACACAGATATATTCATGCATTGCAGGTGTGAATAAATAGATGAACTGGAAGACAAAATAATTAAGTTTCCTTTGGAAGTCACTAAATGATTTGTGTCTATTAACTCATTATAAGTTAAAAGCAACCCTTTGAAGTAAGTTGGAAATACGTTTTCAAATACAAAAGAGCTTGGATTAGTCCATTTTTAATTGAAAATAAACCTTAACGATTCATAGTGTAAACCTCCATATAGTTATTTGTATCAATAACATATTTAAATTTTTGTTCTATGGATAAGTAGTCATTTTGTGAACGTGATTAAATGTAGTCATAGAGGTTTTATTTGTATATGTATTTGTATAAATGTATATATACATATATATATATTCAAGTCAATACTGGCATTTTTGAGGAAACCACTAAATATAACAACTCAACATCACAGAACTGTTTTTCTTGTTCTTTATACAATATATTTTGTTGTTATCTACATGAAAGCATATCATGGCTGGGCGCGGTGGCTCATGCCTGTAATCCCAGCACTTTGGGAGGCCGAGGCAGGTGGATCACGAGGTCAAGAGATCAAGACCATTCTGGCTAACACGGTGAAACCCCGTCTCTACTAAATATACAAAAAATTAGCTGGGCGAGGTGGTGGGCGCCTTTAGTCCCAGCTACTTGGGAGGCTGAGGCAGGAGAACGGCGTGAACCCGGGAGGCAGAGGTTGCAGTGAGCCGAGATCATGCCACTGCACTTCAGGCTGGGCAACAGAGACTCCGTCTCAAAAAAAAAAAAAAAAAAGAAAAGAAAAGACATCATGAGACACGAACAGTAATTCCAATGTTTCATGAAAATAAATGCATTTTTAGATTCATCAAAGACAATACTACTTCTTTGAGGATGCAAGAAAAATTCCATGTCTCAAAATTTCTACTATGTGCCTACAATTCTGTAGCTTTTATACCAATATTAAATGTTGTTTTATCTGATTCATGAATTATAAAATACACTGTGTTTTTAGATTTGCTAGAAATAACCTTTTACAAATCATACTGGAAACATGTCAGTTTTGAAGTTGTTCAATAGTTTTAAATATGTTATATTATGAAAGATGTCTTTTAAAACAATGCAAAACAAAATAAAACAAAAATCTCAAAGGAAAAACTTGTCACATTCTCGTTCTCCTCTTCCACAAAATGTCAATCTAATATAGTCTATTTAATCAACATTAACATCCTACTGGGCTCAATGTAACACAGTCAGTAAAATAACGCATAGGATATATGCAGAAATGAATAAGCATTACCTTATGGTTTTAAATTTGTTTTGCAATGTAAATAATAATGTGTCATTTTATATCCTATAGTGATAGGATTGAATAATTAAAACCAGTATGGTTTTTTATTTATTTAGTCTGAAATATTTTATATATTTAGTCAATTCTAAGTGTAATCAGCTGGTAGCACTGTAGAACTAAATTCTAGAAATAGTAGCTAATGGTGGTTTTGAGTCCCACATTCACATATGTATACAGGCATTTGTGGCATCATTATCCATATTATGCTCCTAAGTACCATTATGAGCACCATTTCAGGAGTTGTGTACACAGTCACGTGGTCACTTTTGAAAGCTGGTCTCCTTTGGTACTCTAATGAGCAGGCTAACTCAGAGCAATGCTTTGAAGACTAAGGATGGAGTGGTGCATGCTGACTCTAACCATACATTATTTTGCATTTTTTATCATAGCGCATAAAGTCGGCATGCTTAAAGGAACAAGATCTAAACCTATCCCTTTAGAAATATAGGACTATGAGCATGTATGAAGCTTTTATTATTCTTTGGTACATGTATTTGTTATTCCTCAGTAAGAATGGTAAAATAAGTTCAGGTCTTTAAAGTTAGGACAACATAAATTTCATTTCAAAAGAATTCTAGTATAGAATGAGTGGCTAAAGAATGGTCTTCTTTCCTTCACTCATGATTATTTTCACATTAAAATATATTTTTATGTGTAGTATTAATTTTATAAAGAATGTACATGTTTTAAATTTTACGAAAGTATTTAAACCATCAAAATCAAAAATCTCTTTATCTAATACTGTATCTTCTAAGTTAAATTATATTTTGGGGAATGTTATTATTATGAATCAACTATTATTTAAGAAAATCAACCTTTTAAACTTTGGCCTTTATCTTAATTAATAGATGGGCTTTCCCTAATAAACTTTTATCTGAGGGAACATTTTATCAAAATTCTCCTTTAATTTGAGCTGTGTTACACATGGAGTATGTTGTTTTCTTCATTTTTCTGTCCAGCTACTTTAGCAGTTTGTACCTTTATTATTATATCTCTATTATGGTTAAAAAGTCATGTTTTTCTTCACTAACTTCTGATATATTTATCATCTTAAAAATAAAGAGATATGATCCCTGACCTTAGAAATGTTCTTTTCAAGGCACGAGAGACACATGTGGCTTAAATTTACTCTGCGCTAGGGCCAGGTGCGGTGGCTCACGCCTGTAATCCCAGCACTTTGAGAGGCCGAGGAGGGCAGATCACGAGGTCAGGAGATCGAGACCATCCTGGCTAACATGGTGAAATCCCGTCTCTATTAAAAATACAAAAATTAGCAGGGCATGATGGCACTTACCAATCCAAGTAATGAATGGGCTTAATTTATTGTTTGCTTGTTAAAAATTATTTTACTGCATGTCATTTGCCCTTACAAACACAAACACATACACAAAAACACACATACATGTACACATCAGTCTTCCAGATTTAATCTTTCTCCAGTTGGAAATGAGAAATTGTTGTAGGATTCTTTTATTTCCTATCTTTTATCTCTGTAAATGTTTACAAATGGTTGAATGATTTTGAAAAAAAGTTAAATATATTTATTCCATTTTAATATCACAGTCTCAAATTTCAAGTTTTTTTTCTACACTACCTAGAAATAGTATTGACTTTCACTAGTAAGCTTAAATATTCTTGTAGATAGCAATTACATAGCTATCTTTCTTCACACTTACTATATCTTTTGGCTTTTCTCCCCACACATAAAATTGATATGGGAAGAAAGGAAGGAAGGAAGAAAAAGGAAGGAAGGGAGGGAGGAAGAGAGGGAGGGAAAAGTCGATCAAACCTGTCTGATCCCTCTACCTGTAAGCCTCTCTGAAGTTGCATTTGTATATTTGTATTCTCCTTTCTTTTTTTTTTTTTTTTTTTTTTGAGATGGGGTTTCTCTTGTTGCCCATCCTGGAGTTCAATGGTGCGATCTTGGCTCACTGCAACCTCCGCCTCCCAGATTCAAGCAATTCTCCTGCCTCAGCCTCCCAAGTAGCTAGGATTACAGGCACCTGCCACCACACTCAGCTAAATTTTTTGTATTTTTAGTAGAGATGGAGATTCGCCATGTTGGCCAGGCTGGTCTTGAATTCCTGACCTCAGGTGATCTGCCCGCCTAGGCATCCCAAAGTGCTGGGATTACAGGTGTGAGCCACTGTGCCTGGCCTGTCCTTTCCTTTTCTTACAATTAAAGAAGTGTCCTTATTCCCACAGAAAGAGAACTCCAGTTTTGTGTCCTGGATTATATACTTTTACCTTTTATAGAAACTTAGCTACTTTTATAATCCTTTTAGTCTTCTGCATCTTGAACCATCCCCTTTAGCATACAAACACACTAAAATCATTAAAATTCCACATAACTTTTCATCCACATAAAGCTACTCTTCCATTTCTCAACAAAGTGTCTTGGAAAATATCATCTATGTACTATGTCTATACCAGCTCAACTGCATTCACTAGCTGTACCTTCAGTTTGGTCCTCAGGCATACACTCAGCCAAAATACTCTTGAGTGTCTTTTTCCCTTCCTTCATATCTGCCACACTCCCACCAGCATGCAACACTTGATCTCTTTCTGATTGAAATACTCTCCCATTCATCTATCATGACTCAACATTCTTTATTCTTTATGCTCTTCTTCATGGTGCTGTCCTCATTAAAGACCACAAGCCTGATAAAGCTATAGTTATCACCAGGCAAAATGCCTCCTCTATGCTCCAGGCTTATGAACAAAACTACATGCTTTGATAAAGCTCACTGGCCAAAGACTTACACACATCTGTAATGAGAGAGTGTTATGTTCATTACCTTGTTCCATCAAGAGAAAACAAACATCATGGGAAACCATGGGACTTCTCAAAAAAAGGCAACTGATAAGGATAGGATTTGCTGGAGTTTGTCACAGGATGGTTCAAGCAGAGAATGGTCAAAATTTGTAAACTGGAGAGTTGCTGAAATAGTTAGCAGTTTTGACTTTTAAGTCCATTAAGTGTTACACTTAGATCATTTTGTCCCAGGTCTTATTTTGCAAGCAATGGGTCTAACAAAAGAAAAATGATACCAACATGTTCGAGCTTAGTTTGTGATGCACAACATGTCCTGTCTGGAATAGTTTATCTGTCTTGTGAGTCAGAAGACATTTTGCAAGTTGTGACACCTGTTTTAATTTCAGTTTTCCATCTCATAACTCAGTTGCCAATGGGACTAATTTTCAGTTTATCACTTAAAATCTCTATGTTACCGTCATAAAAATATTTCACATTTAAATGCTTTTCAAAAGCAAAACATGAACAAAAACATAGAATATCTCCCTACAAACTTGATATTCCCAGTCATCTTTCTCCATAAACAACACTACTATACACTGTTATTAAAGACATAACATTTTCTAGTGTTTTGATTCTTTACTTTCTTCATTGTCACAGATAATTTATCAGTGAGTATGTCATTTATAACTCCAAAATATAGCTCAAATTATCCACTTTTCAAATTCATACTGTCCCTACCTTATTCTAAGCTTCTGTTTCTCATCTTCATGCACAGCAGAGGCTTATAAACCAGAAAATCAAACATGTCACTTTCATCCTTAGTGTAGCCAATGCTTTCCTTTTACTAAGAATAAAGCCAACATTTCTGAAGTAGACCATGAGGCTCTGATTGCCTGGGCTCTCCTACTTCTGCAATCTCCCTTCGGGCACTCAATTCATCACTGTGCTCTGGGTCTATGGTCCTCCTTCCAATTTGAAAATGGCAACTCTAGATTTTTTTCCTTTTAGCTTTATTGAGGTATATAAAAATTGCACCCATTTAATGTGTACATTTTCATGAGTTTGTACATATACATACACTCATAATACTATCATCACAACCAAAGTACTAATCGTACTCATCACCCCTAAACATTTCCTTGTGTTTTTTTCTTTGGTGATATTTTGTTGTTGTTATTGTTGCTGCTGTTGTTGTTGTTAAGAACACGTAATATGAGATCTATCCTCCTAACATATTTTAAAGTGTTAAACACCATATTGTTAACTGTAGATACTAAATTGTACAGCAGATCTCTAGAACTTATTCATCTTGCATAATAGAAGCTTTACAACAATTAAAAAACTATTCCCCATGGCCCACTTTCTCCAGCCCTCGGCTACCCACCATTTTATTGTCTGGTTCTATTAGTTTGTCTATTTCAGATACCTCATCAAAGAGGAATCATGCAGCATTTGCCTTTCTGCAACTGGCTTATTTCACTTAGCCTAACAGACTGTAGATTCATTCACATTGCTGCAAATGGCAGGATCTCCTTTTCTAAGGCAGAATAATATTCCATTGTATGTATATGCCATATTTTGCTTATGTAGATTGGAACCCTTACACACGATTAGTGGGAACTTAGAATGGTGTGGCCATGGAAAACAGTATGGAGGTTCCTCAAAAAAACTGAAAGTAGAACTACAATATGATCCAAACTCTTAACTAATGACCGAATGTTTCTGTCATTCCCCAGCTTGATCTGCTCTAGAAGCCGTCTTCATACCACCACACAAACCTAATGACTGACTACATGGTCTTTCAAGATTTATTCTCAAAAGTAACTTTCTCAGAAATATCTTTTGTAAACAATATTTTTCATTAGTCAAGTTCTACTGGTTACTCCTGAACGCTGTGCCTTAATAAGTCATTTCATAACATGTATTCACATAGTAATTACTTATTTGTTAACTTGTCTTCATGCGTGTGGGTGGGGAAGAAGGTTATATTCTCTTTAAATTTTAATGACTCTTTAATAACCACTGTGATCACAGTATTTAGTATAGTATTTGTTATGCAGTAGGTTTTCAATAAGTGTTAGTTGTGTAAATATTAATAATAGTGATAATTCTATAAGTATAAATATACCAAATTAATAATACCAGAGTAAGAAGTGAATAAACAACATAATTAGCAGGCTACTGTACGTCCCACTTCCTTAACTAATGATATTTTCATTTTAACAAATTGACTCACTTTAAATCACTAAATTTCCAAAAGACCACAATTAATTTATTCTATTTTTATCTGTTTTCCTCTTAGATTTTCTTTAAAAATAATCATTTTAGTCTTTTTACATCTATTTCTTTAGTTATTTTTATTTTCTAATATTCCACATGTAATTTACTTTATAATCAAATTTATAAACGTTTGTTTGATATCTTTCTGAATTTTCAAGGGAATTTTAGAAATCCCATTGCAGTCCCTTAAAAATTATGTTTGTTACCATTTTAATAACAGTAAATCATCCTGCTCACTTTTATTATTCGCTGTTCTAGGAAGCTTTTTAAAATTGTTTCCTCTGTAAAGCATTTAAAATATTTTATGTGTACAGAAATATGTAATTAATAATAAAATCAACGTAACTACCTACACACATCTAAAAAAATAAAATATTACATTAGAGTTAAAGGCCAGTCTACACCATACCGTACTTAAAATTCTTGCACTTACCAATCCAAGAAATGAATGGGCTTAATTTATTGTTTGCTTGTTAAAAATTATTTTACTGCATGTCATTTGCCCTGACAAACACAAACACATACACAAAAACACACATACATGTACACATCAGTCTTCCAGATTTAATCTTTCTCCAGTTGGAAATGAGAAATTGTTGTAGGATTCTCTCCTTAGTTCAGCTAAAAATGGAGTCCTTGTCATAAGGCCTTGAAAAATTAGGCTCACAGATAATTTGAAGGGTGAAGAGGACAGGTTTTACTGTGTGAAAAGGAAAAAGGAAACAGGGACCTTCTGCAAGGCCAGGGTCCTGCTAGCATGCTTCCTGCCTCACAAGTTGAATCCTAGGTTCCACCCAGGAAGAGGAGAGGCCAGACTCCTCTCGCAAGACCTTCTGTGGCTCCACCCCAGTGCTCACTCCTCCCAGCGCATAGGCCTGTTGGAGTTTTGCCAGGAATCCCTTCCCACCTGGCCATCTCAAAATGGTTACAATTGTGGACATTTCAGGTGTCTCTTGGTTTCTTTTCATTCTTTTTATATATTGTCTCATTTTTTCTGGGCCCATCTTTTGAACCAATAACAGGAAATAGTAACCAAGACACACTGCTGATATTTGGAGTTCTGAATAAGTGGCCTAAAGACAGGATTCACTAGACATACCATATTGTTTCCATATAATGGCAAGCAATATTTTGTCAATTATTTTATTGCTCCATAAAATAAGTAAGCATCTTTCCAACTTCTACTGTCTATCCCTGAGACAAATGTCATACATACATATTTGTTGTAGCAAGTCCACGTATACAATTGCTGATTTCTATACCAGGTAGTTAATAATGTGGTAAAAAATGAAACTTATAATAGTAAAAATTTATTTATTTTTATATAATTAGGTTGGAATGGGCTTAGTATGAAAAAACCCACAAATATTTTGAAAAAAATAATTCAATTTACTTACCATAAAAAATTTTGTATATATTATTAGTCTTTTATAAGAACTAGGCTTTGACAACTGGCTTTTTAAAATATATATTTGTTTCATATTTCCCTAATTTCTTCTCTTTCATTGCCTTGTTTAAAGTCCACTTAGTTTATTTGGTTAGCTTCTTCAATATCAACAATTACACTAATTTTTAGTATTATTTTCTAATTTAAACATGTAAAGCTTTTTCAAGCAATCACATCCAAACATTACTCAGGCATTATATTTTTATTACTCTTAGTATTTTCTAATTCTAATATATTTCTAATTTTAATATTCTTCCACTCATAAATTATCATTGTGTTGAATAATTTTCAAACACTCTAATTTTTCTTGTGTTATTGATACCTAAATTAATCATAATATCCTAGAGAATGTCAGCAATATGGTAACATTTTGTTGAAATACAAAAATCTCTCCTTTGTTTTATAATTTCATTTTGTGAGCTCAATTTCAGTTGAGCTTAGTAGAACCTGTGAAACTTGACAGTATATTCTTCAGAGAATATTGCATTTTTTTATTACAGGTTCTGAGGTTGCTAGATACCCAGGGCTAATTTCAATTTATCATATTTTTCTGAGTTTGGGGATAGCAGTTAGTGAAAATGCAGAAATTAGATGTATTAAAGGGTACTTCTATGATTATAAATTTCTCAGGGTACCTTTTTGTTATACATTGCTCAGGTGCACAAAGATTTCTTCCTTATCATCTCATTTGTTTCTGTGACCTGTTCTTTTTAAGACTGTCCTTTTTTTCTTTTTTTTGGTTCTGTGACTGCCTGTGACGGTGTTTCCCATTCAAAATACTAACTTTTTAAAGGTCCATGCCTTCTCTCAGTTTCTAGGGTAAGCTTTAAATATGTTACCCTCTAGTGTACCGAAATAAACAAAATCCTCTAGAGCAGCTCAAATGTATATTTCAGCTTGAAAGTCTGATTTCCATCCCTCTTTTTCAATCTTAGTTGTTGCTTTTACTTTTTTTGTCAGAAAAAAAGCTTAAAAAGTTTTATATTTAATGTGCATTTTTACTTGTTTTTTTAGTGACAAATTTTTGGTTTTGTGTTTCAGGATACTGGATATCCAGGAATAGAATTTTCCTTATTAATTTTCTACAGTAGAATATTGAAATTACTAAATATTAGAGTCAAAATGTTCTCAAAAATTAATTGGAATAACTTTTCTCTCAGTGCCAGAGTTCATTCTGTAATACCTCTGCCAGATAATTATCTGTCATCTGCTTAAATACCATGAGACACATCCTGTATCATGGTGGAATATGAATGTTTCAAAATTTTCCATATATTAAGGCTTAATCTTCTTCTCTTTAAGTTATATCTTTGAGTCTTCTATTATCTTTGTTTTCCATATATGGAATTCATTTGCATTTGAAGTCAACTTTCATTCTCATAATCCTATTCTTGCAAAACAAATAACATAAACCTACATGACCAATATCTGGAGCACTTAGGAAAAAGAAGCAACACATCGCAAAATTTATGATACATGGTTTTGGACTTGTCACCACAACAGCTTTGAGGACCAAGGACAATCATAAAATTGTTGAGTCAAGGAATAGTGAAATACACAATAATCAAGGTTCTGGAATCATGTTTTAGCATTTAAAAACACTTTAAAATAGATGTTACAAAATAACCACCTTTTAAGAAAAAGTTTAAAAAAAAATATGAGTTTTATACATTTTGCAAAGGTAAGCAAACCAGGCTCAGATGAAGCAGTGAGACAAAAACTTCTGAAAATGGACATTCTCTAAGGAAAACTCCCACGTATAGAAATAGAGAACAGTCAGCAGGAGACTCAGGACTGGTCCTAATTGACATTTCAGGCCACACACACAAAAAAAAGCTGACTTCTAGAATAATCTTATGAAAGGCCTAGAAACCCAAAATACTATGCACTTGTTCTGATGACCTGCTCTCAATAATAAGAGAAGGCTAAATCATTAGGCTATAGGTGTAAGTTAAATGCATTTAAGAATTTATAAAGCAAAGTTAATCCTACATACAATACAAGGTGGAAATAAGATAAACTAAGAGCAAGGAAAACATTTCAGAAGGTCTGGATTCCTGTGATTTTTATTTCTTTAAAAAATTCAAAGGCAACCTTGCTTTTGGATATTTATAGAGTGTCTGTTGGCTCACATTCAGGTCCAACTCTTAACTCCCTTAGGATCAATTCACTTCAAAGTAAAATTCAAAGGTGGTGCAAAAAGTATTTTAAAACACCTATCAAGATGCCAGTTGAATTTTTCACATGTCTTATTAGATGCTGAGTATGGTGTGGTAAATTTACAATGCTTTTCTTTTTTATAGCCTTGGGGTATTTATTTTTATTGATTTACAAAATATACATAGAGAACACATTATGCCACTACCAGATGCATACTTAAGTTTCCTCTACCTCCTGGTATAAAAAAATATAAAATATCCTGTAGAATGGCAAAAGTATTTTAAAATACATTGTGAGAAAATAAGCTGACATATACATTTTAATGGATTGATATTCCCAGGCCATTTTCTTATTTTGAATTCAGCTTGTAATCAAAGAATATATGTCTTTTGAAATTACCTTCCCTTTATTGATATCCACAAAACCTGAAATAGTCCTCCAGTCTTTTCTGGTTTAAATTTTTGCAAAGGAATGTAGCTTCTTATCAAACAGATAAAATTATCATGCATTTAAATCATGGATTATTATGAAATTTCATCTACAGTTATCCCCCCCATATCTGCACTTTTACTTTCCATGGTTTCACAGTTACCCATAGTCAAGGCTGTCTGAAAATATTCCATTGAAATTTCCAGAAATAAGCAATTCATAAGTTTTAAATTGCATGCCATTCTGAGTAGTGGGATGGAATCTTGTGCAGTCCTGCTCCGTCAGACCCAGGACATGAAGCATCCTTCGGTCCAATGTGTCCACATCATCTAACTACCCACCAGTTAGTCACTTGGTAGCTGTCCCACTTATCAGATTGACTGCTGTGGTAACACAGTGTTTGTGTTCAAGCAACCTTCATTTTACTTAATAAGGGCCCCAAAGCACGAGTAGAGATGCTGAAATGTTGTTATAATTATTCTATTATTAGTTATTACTGTTAATCTCTTACTGTGCCTAGTTTATAAGTTAAACATTATCATAGGTATGTATACATAGGAAAAGTCTTAGTATATATAGGGTTCAGTACTATCTATTGTTTCAGGCATTCACTGGGGATTTTATAATTTATCTCCTGTGGATGAGGTGGGAGCTACGTTAGAGCCACTCGTATTGAAAATGAAAATGAGACTTCATTATAGATGTAGCTTTATTTCTTAGCCACTATATGTCTTTGTTCCAATTCTTTCTGTTTTACTTTCAGACTATATCAACATGAGTTTATAGGTCATTGAATGAACGTTTGTTACTGGATATATTCTGGTCATTAATTTGCTTAATCAATCAGTATGAATTAACTAACAAGTTTTTGATGTTCACATATTAGCCATTCTAGATTTCACTGTGAGTTAATGTCTAGCAAGATCTTAGTATTAGAAAATTCATAGTCATATGTTTAATTTTTTTTATATTTTATTTACTTCTTGGAGATTCACAATGAATTTTATGACATTATACCAATGATACCTTTTGTCCTGAAGGTATATATCTTTAAAACTTATTTAATCCAGTGTTTTCTTAATTTATTTGCAATGGAAAACATACTAAAAACTTAGTCTTCTAATGCTTTTCTATGTTCAACTTGAGAAATGCCTCCACATTGTAATCAAAATCCATATAAATTCAGCAAACTAAACATTAAATTAATATATAAATGAATTATCAATTAATACATATTTACATTATATTAATATATATGTATACATATTTCAACACATTATAACCAAATGAAAGCATTTATACTTGATTGATGGAAGAGACAAATTAACATCAATATAAAATCTATGCCTTTACTAACTTAACAAATGAGCCCTACCTTGTATGTATAGAAATTAACTAGCCTATTAACTATATGAGAAAATTGCATATCTAGAGATCATATCATGAAAAAGAGAGTGGAGTACATTGAGGAACATTGAGAGTCCATTGAGAAGACTATGGCAGTTATACTATATGGATTAAAAGATAGTTTGGTTCCATGCAAAGCTGGAGAGGCAGATGACAATTAGACTATTCAGGATTTTGATAATAAGATTAAGGCTTTGGAATTTAAGGGAAACTAAAAGGCCAATCAAACGATTTTAAGCTAAATATCTTAAGTTTTCTAAACTTTTTAATTATTTTTTTCTCTAGTTTAAAAAATGAATTTGAAGGGGACAGAAATGAGTGTGGGGGGTCTGATTAAGTTACTTTTGCAATAGACTGGACTAGAAAGGATAATAAGGGAGTGGTTTAAGGGTGTCAATATGTGGTCTTTATATTTTGAATTTTAAAAATGCGTTATACTCATACACATATATATGTTTGCTTATTAGATATATGGGTGTGTGCGTGTGTGTGTATATATATATATTTCTCTCAAAAAGAGAGATACACCCATGATTTTTAATTTTCTGTATTAAGCATCAGATCAGTGTCACATACTGAGAAGAGAAACAGTAGACAAGGATGAGGTTTTAGTGAATATTTCATGTCAGTTTTCAGTTTTACTCAAGTCAGTAAGAATCAAATAAAGTTTTCCAATTGTTCAGTTATACATAACTACATAAATAATCTTGGAATCATCCTTGACTCTAGTTTTTCTCATATATTAAGGCAGAACCACCATTTCAACCTTCATCAATATTAGCATCCTAAAACATATCAGCAACTCTACTGCTCACAGATTGTTTAAAGCACTTCATCTCTTGCTTAATTTATTGCAGTGGCATTCTAACTATTCTACCTCCTTCTGTGATGCCTTGAATCACAAAGGGCAACTCGAAATATATCTTGTTAAAATGTAAGGCAGTCATTGTAATTCCTCTGCTCAATAACTTCCAATCTTATTCACAATAAAAATCAAACCACTTATAATGATGCATAAGGTCCTCCTAATCAGGGCTCCCATTACTCCCTTGATGTTATCATTTTCTTCTATCTCCTTAGCCTTCTAGTAATGTCCTTCAATAATCACTTGTCTGCCTCTGGGCCTTTGTACTTATATCTTTTGTACTTGTATATTTTGACTGAATAGGTCTTTCCCAAGGTGACCCCAAAGCTATTTGTTTCACCTCCTTCAAACTTTTTACACAGAAGTGCCTTCCTTGGCTACTCCATCAAAAATTACAAGCGTTCTTAAACCTCTTAATCCTTTCCTCAGTTAATATTGAGCCAACGATAAATTATTAATAAATACATAACAGCTATTTAGTCTGTTTTATCCTTTGAAATAGTACCTTAACTACATACGAGACAAAATTTTATTTTATATTGTTTTCTTTCTGTTTTGTTCACTGGCTGTTACATCCCCTATACACATACTAGGCACTCAATAAATACTTTTTAATGAGTGGATGGATGCATGCATGAATATGTTGAGATAGAACTGCCTGCAAGATATCCAAAGAATTTTGTAAAGTGTACCTGTAGATATGGAAGCTTGGAGCTCAGAAGACAATCTTTGATGGAGATATAGCTTTGTCTACTCTAAGTAAGTTAATATTGGTTTGAATTGTAGTATAAAATATAATCATCTAGCAAGGAAGTATAGAATTAGAAAGAGACTCTATAATAACTTCTGCGTAACTGCAACATCTAATGATGTGTAGAAGCATGAAATGATGACATATGGGTCTCAAAACAAGGGTTCAGAAATAAAATAAAATAAAATCCAGGTTTGTATGATCATGGAAATCAAGGATTGACAGTTAACAAACTCACTGACAGTCACTGACAGTCACAAACACTGTCAATGCCCCACTCTTGTAACTTCAGCACACACTTGCACATGACAAAATTTTTTTACTTCAAACAACTATGACTCTTTTCTACGTGACTGTGAAAACTCTTTCAGTATAGAGTAAGCCAGAGATGTGTGTTTGTGTTACAGAGAGGGAGGAGAGACAGGGTGTTAGTTAAAGGCCTGGGAATAGCTCTTATTGAAGGGTGGACAGGGAGTTAGTGGATCAGTCATCCAATGTCTTTGCTCCAATTGACCACAAGGGCCACTGCATCCTCTATTTTGTCTTCTTTCCCTTTGCTTACTGATTTCCCTAACTCTCCCATACCAGAGTAACATTCTCTGGATTCTCAGTACTTTATTTGCACTCAAATTTTCATCTCAGGATTTGTTTCTGTGAAAGCCTGAGCCAAATTTTATATCTTTTAAAAAATCCCTTATTGTGGTTAGTTTTGAACTCTACTGAATGGTCTTCCAGAATAACGGCTCCCGTCATTTCTAAGGGGACGCACCTGAGAAATGTGTTAAGGATTAAGATGCTAGTGCTAGATGTTTGATTTTCTGAATCGAACCACTATTGGTGAGATCCAGAAGCTCAAAGACATGATATACCCACCTTCAAATAATGTTTATGTAGGTAATCTATTCTCAGGATTTATAGACACTGCTGTTAAGACCTATTGTCATTGGGGTAAAAAAAAATCCTTATTATATTATACAAATTATTATATACTATTATATTATAGAAATTATATTTCTATTAAATAGCTTGTGTAGAAAGTAACCATATATAGTTAGAAAAACACTGATCTCAAGAACAGGATTTTAGATTTGACTCTGACAATTTCTGTTCGGTCTTGTATAAATGTATCAATTTAGATTTAGGGCTTTATTTTCTAATCCATAAAATGTGTAGCATACTTCTGCTAGCTATACATTTACTGAAGTTATTATTTTAAACTATTTTTATTTTCATTTTTTTGTTTTGAGTTATAATCATAATTAATGGATTCAAGTGACAGAGAAAAGAAAGTAATTAGTCATCTTTTTTCAGAATACAGTCTTTGTTCTGAAGGTATTTCGTATGAATCAAGTTTCAAATCTTCAGATAAATTTTCACCTTGCCAATGTGCTTTCTGCTCTAAATCATTCCTGAATTTTGCTATGATTTTTCTTTCTTATAAAATCTTGACACTAAATTGTCAGGAGATATACATATATGTATATATGTAAAATATATATATCATATATAAATATATATAAATTTTGAGTTAAAGTACTATTACAGTATTCAATTCTACCAGTAATTCTAATAGTATGAAAATAAAGTCACCAGTTGAAGTAAGACCTACTGACACCTTCTATTATATTTCGATAATTCTATTTGAAACTAATTATATAGTAGGACATTTTCATTGTTTTCAGTATTAACTGGCACTCATGTAGATATTGCAGGCCAAATTTTACCTCTACCTTTTGGAATTTTCTGGGGTAGACTTGAGAATTAAACTGACATAAGACAGATTAACAGGAGAAAAGCGTACAAGTTTATTAAATAGAAGTTTTGCAGCCGGGCGCGCTGGCTCACGCTTGTAATCCTGGCACTTTGGGAGGCCGAGGCGGGCAGATCACGAGGTCAGGAGATCGAGACCACGGTGAAACCCCGTCTCTACTAAAAATACAACAAATTAGCCAGGCGTGGTAGCGAGGCAGGAGAATGGTGTGAACCCGGGAGGCGGAGCTTGCCTCTGCACTCCAGATCATGCCACTGCACTCCAGCCTGGGTGACAGACCAAGACTCCGTCTCAAAAAAAAAAAAAAAAAAAAAAAAAAAAAAGAAGTTTTGCATGACATGGGAACCCTCATAAAAAAAGTGAAGTCCCAAAAAAGTGGCAAAATCTAAATGCTTTTATATTATGTTGACGAAAGAGGGGCAATTGTGGAAAAGTAACTAAATTATGAGGGTTAGGCTAACAGAAGATAAAAATTATTTTAACAAGTTCTGTTTGTATAAAATTTTCTCAATTTCAGCTACCCATCCTTGATGATTAGAATGTTGCATTCCTTCTGGTATACAAGGAACATCTTCCATATGGGGGTTTTATCTTCTGCTTTCAGAAAAAAAAAAATAACTCTGTGTGTGGTAGGATGAAGGTGTCAGAACATTCTTCTTGCACCTGCTGGTTGCTATCTTTTTAAACTGCATTTGTTTCAAAACAATCCTTATGACAAAGGGGTGTATTTTGGGGTGGCATATTCTGTCACCCGTCAATATCAAAGTGGTTTTTGAGTTTGTGCTCATCTTCTTTCCTTATTCTGTTCCTTGTAAGGTAAGACTAAATATAATGGAATTTGCCGTCACATGTCTCTTATATGTAGTGAGTTTTAACAGGCATTCCAGGAAATGCCATATGGTCTTTTAGCTTGGAAATTATTTTAGAAAACGATAAAATCTTTAGTGTGAAGTTATTTCCCAGATATGTATCGCTAAAATTATCATTACAGGTGCTCTAGGTAATATGTTTGCTTATTAAATAAGAAGTAATTTATATTACATGTAGAAGATTTAAAAATGGTGAATATAATTTGTTACAGAAATTATAATTTAATCACCATTATTATATATGACAAAGATAGATTTTTATAATGATTCAAGACAAGTTAAAGAAAATAGATATACATTTCTTTATATTTATTTAAAAAATAAATTTTTTTTAGAATTAGAAATTTTTAAAGGTGAGTCTCCTTACCATCTATATTATGTAAAAATTAAGAATAAATAAGCTGGGCGCGGTGGCTCACGCCTGTAATCCCAGCACTTTGGGAAGCCAAGGCAGGTGGATCATGAGGTCAGGAGATCGAGACCATCCTGGCTAACATGGTGAAACCCAGCCTCTACTAAAAATACAAAAAATTAGCCGGGCGTGGTGGCAGGCGCCTGTAGTCCCAGCTACTCGGGACACTGAGGCAGGAGAATGATGTGAACTCGGGAGGCAGAGCTTGCGGTGAGCCAAGATCATGTCACTGCACTCCAGCCCAGGAGACAGAGTGAGACTCCGTCTCAACAACAACAACAACAAAAAGAATAAATATTTGAAGAAATTGAATAATTTATTTAAAAGTAGTTTTCTCCATGTTTTCATATGTACAGAGATTTACATTCTTAATGTAATATCCTTTTGTAAAAAGAAAAATATGTAGCCCAAAAAAACATCCAACAAAATGGTTAGAAAATATAATCTTTAGTACTCATGGCTTATTTATTTCTCAATTTCTCAATTCATTTTGTGCATTGTTTCGAAATGTCATGTAATTGTATGCTAATTTTAATTATTCAGCAGTGTAACTTTTAACTCCCGTAGTGAAAAAAAAGAGAGCAAATTTACAAAGGACAAGCATACATTTGTGAGTCTCTCAGGCTGCCTCTCACATTTCATACAAACAAGGAAAGAGTAGTTTCAGTTTTACCAAGTTTTCTGTGCTTTTTTGACCTTAAGCATTATCATGTAAAGTCAGAATCTTCTAATTCACACTTTCTTTTGCCAACAGCCCACTCATCATACCATGTCCCTCCAGCTAAGTGGAGTATTAAAGACTTCATTTCTTGAGAATCATGGACTGTCACAAAAATGGAAAAACTAAGGTCTGAGGAGGCTGAGTTGCTTACTCAGTGCTATAAAGCATATCAATTTACAGATTTAAAGTAAGGACTGGGACTATGCAGTCCCTTTCTGTTGTCGTCCTAATGATATCAGTAAAATACGAATAGTTTGAGATTTGAAAAAGCCCTTTGGAGATTCTATTGAAGTCTTAATATTAGTATGAGTTCATATTTGTGCTCAGTAATTAGATTCATGGTGAGCTTTAGAAAACATATATTTTAGCATTATTTCCAAGGAAGACACCTAAAAAATGGTACCTCAATCAGAATATAGTAAGCTTGGATTTTGTTCTCAACTATTTTCATATTAGTTAAATGAACTTTGTAATTTTTTTTTTTTTGAGACGGAGTCTTGCTCTGTCACCAGGCTGAAGTGCAGGGGCACAATCTCGGCTCACTGCAACCTCCGACTCCCTGGTTCAAGCAATTCTCCTGCCTCAGCCTCCCAAGTAGCTGTGATTACGGGCACGTGTCACCATGCCCAGCTAATTTATTTTGTATTTTTAGTAGAAACGGAGTTTCATCATGTTGGCCAGGATGGTCTCGATCTCCTGACCTCGTGATCGGCCCGCCTTGGCCTCCCAAAGTGCTGGGATTATAGGCATGAGCCATCGCGCCCGGCCAAACTTTGTAATTTAATAATATTCCACCTATACCACAAACTGGCTGTGCATATCAAGACAAAAATATGCTTAAAAATTCACTAGAAATTTTGAATTATCTATTTATTTGTTTATACTGACTTTTTTTACACATTTTTCTTTGTAGTTCCTTGTAGCTTTTTGTTTGGTCTAAATACTTGCTAAGATGGTAAAAAACTAAAGTTTCATTCCATTGTTTAAATTACTGAATTTCTTAATATCAGAAGAGCTTCAGCTATATGAGTCAATAGAAAGTAGACAGTTCCACAAGCAAAAATATATAGATATATACTTTGTATCTTTTATTATGTTGTGCATAAAAAATAGCCCATGACCGATAACTTAGGAAGAGCTCAAATATGTTATTAATTATAATATTATTAACCAGAGGAGGAAGAAGATAAGAACAGTAATCAGAAATAATTTTATGGAGCATACATTAGGACACACCAACTCCGAAAGCAAAGAGCTTCAGAAGGCTAGCTCGATGTCCCCAAGTATGGTTGAGGAAAGCAACTACAATGCAGTTAAACAGCCGAGGAATAAATGCTTTTCAAAGCACTGTTTCTGCAAATGAACTAAAATGTAGAGTATTTTGAGGTCCCCAATAAAGAGACCGATGTGATTCCAAGATTAATTTAGAGTAGCATAACAGAGCAGATTCTTTGTGATGGGTATGAATTTCATACCTTGGCTAAGGAAACAGGAGGAGAAATGAAAAAGAAAATTCAATTCTCTACCGTATATAAAAATAAATAATTTAAAAAATAAGATGACAATGGTTATTAAAAAAAAAAAACTTACATAGTCAAGAAACCTGAAAATGCTCCCTAAGACAAATTTAATGAATTTCTGAAAATATAAAGCTTTTGCTGCCATGTTTGGTCACAACACTTTGATTTAAACTTGGGTGTCCCCTATAGCCAAGATATTAATCAGACTGTCCACCATGAGCTTAAGAGAGGGACTAAAATAAACAGTTTCATTTCAGCTCTCCAAGAGAGGTTGGTTTGCATCTTGCTACCTTAGTATTGGTCCAGTGAAGGGCCAGGAGAATCAAGAGAGCTTTACTGCTTTCTAGCTGCCCCAGGGAAAATATGATGAAAAACGTCATACTCAAGAGTTGTTCAATCAACAATCTGTCAAATTACCAATAGGCTAGAGAAGCAATAGAATATCAAGTATATCCTATCTAAGGTATTATTATCATTATTATGAATCTCGCTGTTTGTACTTAATAAATTACATTGAGTCAATCTTATGAAAAACACTTGCTACTTTAATTGCTTCTAAATGTAGCAATTTAATAGCATTGGATTCTAATTACTACTCATCTGTAATCCAATACAACATCACATTTTTAAAAATTCCCTAAAAACATTTAGTCACATGCACATATATGTATGTGTATTTGTAAAAATAAAATTAAGGAATAGCTTATGATCAATTTTATGCATCCTATATGGTTAGAAAAGGCTGGGATACATATTGATTATTGGCAAATTTGCAAATATAGAAAACCAAAGTGTTTTTTCTCCTCACATAATAACCATATATTTTTAATAGATTATAATCTTTTAGCCTCGTATTATTGATTTATATTTAAAATTTCTATGGATAATATGTGGAAGTAGACACACACAAAGAATAATTACATTAGGATTAAGATGGCGAACAGAGCCAGGACTAGCTTGCATCCCTTCCTCAGACACGTAGATGCAAGCTAGTCCTGGCAACCTGTATGACTCAGCAGAGGCAGCCATAATCCCCCTGAAAATATAGCTCCACTGGACTGGGAAACACACCCTCATCCCCCACAGCAGCCACAGTAAGCCTTGCCCAAGGAAAGACTGAGTTCAGACACACCTATCCCTGCTCCCACCTGGTGGTCTTTCTCTAGCAGCCCTGGTAGCCAAAGACAAAGGTCATAATCTCTTGGAAGTTGCATGGCCCTGACCACTGCCTGAGAAACTTGAACACTGGGATACAGCAAAAATGATACTAAGAAGTTCATAGCATTAAATGAATACATCTAAAAGTCTGAAAGAGCACAAACAGAAAATCTAAGATCTAATCCACACTTCAGGGAACTGGAGAAACAAGAACAATCCAAACCCAAACCCAGCAAAAGAAAAGAAATAGCCAAGATAAGAGAATAACTAAATGAAATTGAAATAAACAAACAAAAAGCAATACAAAAGATAAATGAAACAAAAATCGGGTTCTCTGAAAAGATAAATAAAATTGATAGACCATTAGAGAGAGTAACCAAGAAGACAGAAGATCCAAATAAGCTCAATTAGAAATGAAATGGGAGATATTACAACTGTTGCCACAGAAATGCAAAAGATTATTCAAGGCTACTGTGAACACCTTTGTGTGCATAAACTAGAAAACCTAGAGGAGATGGATAAATTCCTGGAAGACAGATAAAACCAGGAAGATATAGAATCTCGGAACAGACCATTAACAAGCAGCAAGATTAAAACGATAATTTAAAAAATTGTCAACAAAAAAAAGTCCAGGACCAGATGGATTCACAGCTGAATTCCATCAGACATTTAAAGAAGAATTGATACCAATTCTATTGACACTATTCCTCAAGACAGAGAAAGAGGGAATTCTCCCTAAATCATTCTATGAAACCAGTATCACCCTAATACCAAAATCAGGGCTTAAAAAATAGAAAACTACAGACCATTATCTTTAATGAACATAGAAGTAAAAATCCTCAAGAGAATAGTAACTGAAGCCAACAGCATACCAAAAAGATAATTCACAACGATCAAGTGGGTTTCATATCAGGGATGCAGGGATGGTTTAACATAAGTAAGTCAATAAATGTGGTGTGCCACATAAACAAAAGTAAAAACAAGAACCACATGATCATCCCAATAGGTGCAGAAAAAGCATTTGACAAAATCCAGCATCTCTTAAGGATTAAAACCCATAGCAAATGGGCATAGAAGGGACATACCTTAAGGAAATAAAAGTCATCTATGACAGACTCACAGCCCACATTATACTGTATGAGGAAATGTTAAAAAAATTCCCATTAAGAACTGGAATAAGACAAGGACACCCACTTTCACCACTTCTACTCAACATAGTACTGGAAGTCCTAGCCAGAGCAATCAGACAAGAGAAAAAAATAAAGCATATCTAAATTGGTAAAGAGAAAATTAAACCGTCACTGTTTGATGATGATATAACCATATACCAAGAAAACTCTAAAGATTCATCCAAAAAGCTTCTAGAACTGGTAAATAAATTCAGCAAAGTTTCAGGATACAATATATACACAAATCGGTAGCTCTGCTATACACAAATAGAGACATAGCTGAAAATCAAATCAAGAACTCAACTTCTTTCACAATAGTTGCAAATAAAATAAAATACAGAAATATACTTAACCAAGGACATGAAAGACCTTTACAAGGAAAACTACAAAACACTGCTAAAAGAAATCATAGATGAAACAAACAAATGAAAACACGTCCTATACTTATGGATGGGTAGAATCAATATTGTGAAAATGACCATACTGCCAAAAGCAATCTACAAATTCCATTCAATTCCCATAAATACCACCATCATTCTTCACAAAACTGAAAAAAAAAAAAAGCCTAAAATTTATATGGAACCAAGAAAAGAGCCTGCATAGCTAAAGCAATACGAAGCAAAAAGAACAATTCTGGAGGCATTATATTACCTGACTTCAAACTATACTATCAGGTCATAGTCACCAAAACAGCATGGTACTGGTATAAAAATAGGTACATAGACCAATGGAACAGAAATCCAGAAATAAAGCCAAATACTTAACAGTCAACTGATTTTCGGCAAAGCAAACAAAGACATAAAGTGGGGAAAGCATACCCTATTCAAAAAATGGTGCTGGGATAATTGGAAAGCCACATGTAGAAGAATGAAACTGGATCCTCATCTCTCACTTTATACAAAAATCAACTCAAGATGGATCAAATACTTAAATCTAAGACCTGAAACCATAAAGATTCTAGAAGATAACATTGGAAAAATTTTTCTAGACATTCGCTTAGCCAAAGGCTTCATGACCAAGAGCCCAAAAGCAAATGCAACAAAAACAAATATAAATAGACAAGACTTAATTAAACTTAAAAGTTTCTGCACAGCAAAATAAATAATCAGCAGAGTTAACAGATAACCTACAGAGTGCGAGAACATCTTCACAATCTATACATCTGACAAAGGAATGATATTCAGAATCTACAAAGAACTTAGACAAAACAGCAAAAAACTCCAAACAATCCCATTAAAAAGTGAGCTAAGGACATGAATAGATAATTCTCAAAAGAAGATATACAAATGGCCAACAAACATATGGAAAAATGCTCAACATCACTAATTATCAGGGAAATGCAAATCAAAACTACAATGCAATATCACCTCACTCCTGCAAGAACGGCCATAATCAAAAAAATAATAGATGTTCACGTGGATGAGGTGAAAAGGGAACACTTTTACACTGTTGGTGAGAACTCAAACTTGTACAACCACTATGGAAAACAGTGTGGATATTCCTTAAAGAACTAATAGTAGAGATACTGTTTGATCCAACAATCCCACTACTGGGTATCCATCCAGAGGAAAAAAAGTCATTATACAAAAAAGATACTTGTACACTCATGTTTATAGCAGTACAATTTGTAATTGCAAAAATATGTAACCAGTCCAAATGCCCATCAATCAACAAGTGGATAAAGAAAATATGGCATATATATACCATGCAATACCACTCAGCCACAAAAAAGGATTGAAATAATGGCATTCACAGCAACCTGGATGGAATTGGAGACTATTATTCTAAGTGAAGTAGCTCAGGAGTGGAAAACCAAACATTTTATGTTCTCACATGTGGGGGCTAAGATATGAGGACATAAAGGCATAAGAATGATCCATTGGGCCTTGGAGACTCTGGGGGAAAGAATTGGGGGTGCTGAGGGATAAAAGATGACACATCGGGTATAGTGTATGCTGCTCGGGTGATGAGTGCACCAGAATCTCAGAAATTGCCACTAAAAAACCTATTCACGTAATTAAACACCACCTGTTCCCTAAAAATCTATTGAAATAAAAAAATTAAAACTTAAAATAAATTTTAAAAAGAAAATTTAAATTAATAACATAAAATTATTTTATTAAATTTGTCTTTTGTAATAAAGTAATTCTAAATATGTTTAAAATTAACTTTGTTATAACATTTAGAAGCAGTTTAGCTAAACTGCTATGAGAAAGTGCTCTGGCCTGAGACTTCACTTTGAAAACTTTGCCTTTGTGGCCAAGCAGCTTCTATTTGTAAAATATGAAATAAGATACTTATCACAAGTACTTCAAAAGTTAACTAAGATGATCTACATACAGAATATGCTAGTGACACACTATATTTATGAATGGATACTAATTATATGAGATATCTGAAAATTAACTCATGTTACTGTAGTGAGGGAACTTATTCTTGCAACTGGTCTTTCACAGTAGATGCTGAAGGACCTACTGTGGGACCTATCTTTCACAGTAATCGCTCTGTTTCCAATGACCCTTGAAAATTCTTGACCCTCGAACTGTTCCTCCTTCTTGTTAAACCTAATTAGAACAACCAGGTTGTGTTAAGACCACAGCCCAGGTCTCACAGACCCTTTTCTCTGAGGATAACCCAAGTTATCTATACCTTATGAAATTAAAACAATTAACAGTAAACTTTAACTGACCTTCTTCAGTTTGACATACAAATCTCTTGGGCTTTCTGCACCCAAGAACTGTCATCTTAAGTTATTCTTATGCTGCAGTATTTTTAATAAAGGCTTAAGCTGGTGCATTGTGTCTTTGTTTTCATTGGTTTCAAAGAACATCTGTATTTCTGTCTTCATTTCATTATTTACCCTGTAGTCATTCAGGAGCAGATTGCTCAGTTTCCATGTAGTTGTGTGGTTTTGAGTGAGTTTCTTAATCCTGAGTTCTAATTTGATTGCACTGTGTCTGAGAGATGGTTTGTTATGATTTCCGTTATTTTGCATTTGCTGAGGAGTGTTTTACTTCCAATTATGTGGTCAATTTTAGAATAAGTGTGATGTGGTGCTGAGAAGAATGTATGTTCTGTTGATTTGGGGTGGAGAGTTCTGTAGATGTCTATTAGGTCCACTTGGTCTGAGCTGAGTTCAAGTCCTGGATATCCTTGTTAATTTTCTGTCTCATTGATCTGTCTAATATTGACAGAGGGGTGTTAAAGTTTCCCACTATTATTGCGTGGGAGCCTAATTCTCTTTGTAGGTCTCTAAGAACTTGCTTTATAAATCTCGGTGCTCCTGTATTGGGTGTATATATATATATTTAGGATAGTTAGCTCTTCTTGTTGCATTGATCCCATTACCATTATGTAATGCCCTTCTTTGTCTCTTTTGATCTTTGTTGGTTTAAAGTCTGTTTTATTGGTTTATCAGATACTACAATTGCAACCCCTGCTTTTTTTTTTTTTTTTTTTTTGCTTTCCATTTGCTAGGTAAATATTCCTCTATATCTTTATTTTGAGACTATGTGTGTCTTTGCACATGAGATGGGCCTCCTGAATACAGCACACTGATGGGCCTTGACTCTTTATTCAATTTGACAGTCTGTGCCTTTTAATTGGGTCATTTGGCCCATTTACATTTAAGGTTAATGTTGTTATGTGTGAATTTGATCCTGCCATTATTATGCTAGCTGGTTATTTTGCCCTTTAGATTATGCAGTTTCTTCATAGCATCGATGGGCTTTACAATTTGGTATGTTTTTGCAGTGGCTGGTATCAGTTGTTCCTTTCCATGTTTAGTGCTTCCTTCAGGAGCTCTTGTAGGGCAGGCCTGGTGGTGACAAAATCTCTCGGCATTTTCTTGTCTGTAAAGGATTTTATTTCTCCTTCGCTTATGAAGCTTTATTTGGCTGGATATGAAATTCTGGGTTAAAAATTCTTTTCTTTAAGAATGTTGAATATTGGCACACACTCTCTTCTGGCTTGTAGGGTTTCTGCCAAGAGATCCACTGTTAGTCTGATGGGCTTCCCTTTGTGGGTAACTCCACCTTTCTCTCTGGCTGCCCTTAACATTTTTTCCTTCATTTCAACCTTGGTAAATCTGAAGATTATGTGTTTTGGGGTTGCTCTTCTTGAGGAGTATCTTGGTGTTCTCTCTATTTCCTGAGTTTGAATGTTGGCCTGCCTTGCTAGGTTGGGGACATTCTCCTGGATAATATCCTGAAGAATGTTTTCCCACTTGGTTCCATTCGCTCCATCACTTTCAAGTACGCCAATCAAACGTAGATTTGGTCTTTTCACATAGTCCTATATTTCTTGGAGACTTTGTTCATTTCTTTTCACTCTTTTTTCTCTCATCTTGTCTTCTTACTTTATTTCATTGAGTTGATCTTCAATCTCTGATATCCTTTCTTCTGCTTGATCGATTCGGCTATTGATACTTGAGTATGCTTCACGAAGTTCTCGTGCTGTATTTTTCAGCTCCATCAGGTCATTTATGTTCTTCTCTAAACTGGTTATTCTAGTTAGCAATTCATCTAACCTTTTTTCAAGGTTCTTAGCTTCCTTGCATTGGGTTAGAACACGCTCCTTTAGCTCAGAGGAGTTTGTTATTACCCACCTTCTGAAGCCTACTTCTATCAATTCATCAAACTCATTCTCCGTCCAGTTTTGTTCCCTTGCTGGCAAGGAGTTATGATCCTTTGGAGAAGAGGCATTCTGGTTTTTGAAATTTTCAGCCTTTTTGCACTGGTTTCTCCCCATCTTGGTGGAATTATCTACCTTTGGTCTTTGAAGGCGGTGACTTTTGGATAGATCTCTGAGTGGACGACCTTTTAGTTGATGTTGATACTATTTCTTTTTGTTTGTTAGTTTTCCTTCTAATAGTCAGTTCCCTCTGCTTCAGGACTGCTGGAGTTTGCTGGAGGTCCACTCCAGACCCTGTTTGTCTGGGTATCACCAGCAGAGGCTGCAGACCAGCAAAGATTGCTGCCTGTTCCTTCCTCTGGAAGCTTCATCCCAGAGGGGCACCTGCCAGATGCCAGCCAGAGCTTTCCTGTATGAAGTGTCTGTCAGCCCCTACTGGGAGATGCCTCCTAGTCAGGATATCCAGGGGTCAGGAACCTACTTGAGGAGGCAGTTTCTCCCTTATCAGAGCTCGAACGCTGTGCCGATGGATCCGCTGCTCTCTTCAGAGCTGCCAGGTAGGAATGTTTAAGTCTGCCGAAGCTGCACCCACAACCACCTCTTCCCCCAGGTGCTCTGTCCCAGGGAGGCAGGGATTTTATCTATAAGTCCCTGACTAGGGCTGCTGCCTTTTTTTCAGAGATGCCCTGCCCAGAGAGGAGGCAGTCTGGCCGCAGCAGCCTTGCTGAGTTGGTGTGGGCTTCCCCCAGTTCGAACTTCCCAGCAGCTTTGTTTACACCACACCGTGAAGGTGAAACCACCTACTCAAGCCTCAGCAATGGTGGACGCCCCTCCCGCCACCAAGCTCGAGTGTCCCAGGTCGAACTCAGACAGCTGTGCTGGCAGCGAGAATTTCAAGCCAGTGGATCTTAGCTTGCTGGGCTCTGTATGGGTGGGATCCGCTGAGCCAGACCACTTGGCGCCCTGGCTTCAGTCCCTTTTCCAGAGGAGTGAACGGTTCTGTCTCGCTGGCATTCCAGGTGCCACTGGGGTATGAAAAAAAATTCCTATGGCTAGCTCTGTGTCTGCCCAGTGGCCTCCTAGTTTTGTGCTGGAGACTCAGGGTCCTGGTGGTATAGGCACCAGAAAGTCTCCTGGTCTGCGAGTTGCGAAGACCATGGGAAAAGTGCAGTATCTGGGCCGGAGTACGTGGTACAGTCCCTACTGGCTTCCCTTGGCTGGGAGAGGGAGTCCCCCGACCCCTTGTGCTTCCCGGGTGAGGAGATGCCCCACCCTGCTTTGGCTCACTGTCCTTGGGCTACACCCACTGGGTAGAGGGAAATTGATAGCACTAAATGCCCACAAGTGAAAGCAGGAAAGATCTACAATCGACACGCTAACATCACAATGAAAAGAACCGGAGAAGCAAGAGCAAACAAATTCAAAAGCTAGCAGAACACAAGAAATAACCAAAATCAGAGCAGAACTGAAGGAGAGACACAAAAAAACCCTTGAAAAAAATCAATGAATCCAGGAGGGGGTATTTTGAAAAGATCAACAAAATAGATAGACCAATAGCCAGACTGATAAAGAAGAGAGAAGAATCAAATAGATGCAATAAAAAATAATAAAGGGGATATCACCACTGATCTTACAGAAATACAAACTACTATCAGAGAATACTATAAACACCTCTACACAAATAAACTAGAAAATCTAGAAGAAATGGATACATTCCTGGACACATACACCCTCCCAAGACTAAACCAGGAAGAAGCTGAACCCCTGAATAGACCAATAACAGGTTCTGAAATTGAGGCAGCAATTAATAGACTACCAACCAAAAGTCCAGGATCAGATGTGAATTCTACCAGAGGTACAAAGAAGAGCTGGTGCCATTCCTTCTGAAACTATTACAATCAATAGAAAAAGAAGGAATCCTCCCTAACTCATTTTATGAGGCAAGCATCATCCTGATACCAAAACCTGGCAGAGACACAACAAAAAAAGAAAATTTCAGGCCAATATATCTGATGAACATGGATGTGAAAATCCACAATAAAATACTAGCAAACCGAATCCAGCAGCATATCAAAAAGCTTATCCACCACGACCAAGTTGCCTTCATCCCTGAGATGAAGACTGGCTCAACATACGCAAATCAATAAACATAATCCATCACATAAACAGAACCAATGACAAAAACCACATGATTATCTCAATAAATGGAGAAAAGGCTTTCAACAAAATTCAACAGCCCTTCATGCTAAAAACTCTCAATAAACTAGGCATTGATGGAATGTATCTCAAAATAATAAGAGCTATTTATTACAAACCCACAGCCAATATCATACTGAATGGGCAAAACCTCGAAGCACTTCCTTTGAAAACCGGCACAAGAAAAGGGTGCCCTCTCTCACCACTCCTATTCAACATAGTATTGGAAGTTCTGGTCAGGGCGATCAGGCAAGAGAAAAAAATAAAGCGTATTCAATTAGGAAAAGAGGAAGTCAAATTGTCTTTGTTTGCAGACGACATGATTGTATATTTAGAAAACCCCATTGTCTCAGCCCAAAATCTCCTTTAGCTGATAAGCAACTTCAGCGAAGTCTCGGGATACAAAATCAAAGTGCAAAAATAACAAGCATTCCTATACACCAATAGTAGACAAACAGAGAGCCAAATCATGAGTAAACTCCCATTCACAATTGCTACAAAGAGAATAAAATACCTAGGAATCCAACTTACAAGGGATGTGAAGGACCTCTTCAAGGAGAACTACAAACCACTGCCCAAGGAAATAACAGAGGACACAAACAAATAGGAAAACATTCCATGCTTCTGGATAGGAAGAATCAATATCATCAAAAGGGCCATACTGCCAAACTAATTTATAGATTCAATGCTATCCCCATCAAGATACCAATGACTTTCTATAACAGGGTGTGTTCCTCTCAACTTCAGCATCCACATTACCTGGAACCTCATCAACATGCATTTTAAGCCCTGCCCTAGACATACTGAATCAGAGCTTTTGGCATGTCTAAGAAACCTGCAGCTGATTCAGATGTATGGTGCAGGGATACTTAAGTAATAAATGACTGAGGAATCGAAGAGTTTCTACTCTAGCAAAAATAAATAAATTTAATTTTCCTTACTCCATTTTTTTCCAGAGAAAGTATGTGGTTGACTTACATGCAATAAGGAAGCCAACTAGTCTCTCTGATGTTATTTGAGTTGGTTTCTCACCTCTGTTATCACAGAAAAATTAAAACTGGGGTAACTAGTAGAGTGCTGTCTTCAGAGATTTGATAGAAGGGGGTTCATTAACATGTGTGGAAACCATTAGCTCAAGCCTATTTTCTTATTTCTTTTTTATTATACTTTAAGTTCTGGGATACATGTGCAGAACGTGCAGGTTTGTTACATAAGTATACATGTGCCATGGTGGTTTGCTGCACCCATCAGCCTGTCATCCACATTTGGTATTTCTCCCAACGCTATCCTTCCCCTAGCCCCACCCATGACAGTCCCCAACACACCCTGTTATAGAAGAGTTTTTACTCTAGGGAAGTGTTTAAGTAAAAGAGCAATTTTAGATTTTTTTTTATTTTTTGTTCTTTTTCATAAAAACATTTTAACAGAGAATTTGTATGTTCGTATTCCACATCGTGGCAGTAATTAAAAAACTGAAGACTTACAAATGTTCTGTGGGGCCAAAGAAGACTGAAAGATCATATATTTTGAACAGATATTTACTACTTGAATTTATCTACCTTATTATACAAGATGGTGAAGAGGGATTTTTTAATTAATTGATAGCTATTGTTTCAATGGGGTGATTTTTTTATGAAAGTAGCTTAATTTTGTATATAAACTCATTAGCTAGAAAGCTCACTAGATTTTTTAAAATGGAAATCAGGTAAAACTGACAATTTACAAAGTAAAAGGTGGTTTTACTATAACAAACTAATGCTAATTTTTTAATGTAAAAATAAATTATGTTGAATACATCAGTTTTATATATATCATGAATTCCTAAAATAAGTAGTATATCAGATATTGAGTCTTTTAAAAAATATTTAAATTATTTCTGGGTCACTGAAGGTAATTAGTGTTATAATTTATTTTTTGTGTGTATGTACTTCTTTACATAACTTCTTTGAAAATGCGCTTACATTGTTTCATGTGAAATATGCAGATACAACTATCATTATCTAAATAGGGCTAAGTTTCTCTCACCTTTGAGCTACATAT
The DNA here is from genome assembly GCF_000001405.40 of Homo sapiens. Classification (NCBI taxonomy): domain Eukaryota; kingdom Metazoa; phylum Chordata; class Mammalia; order Primates; family Hominidae; genus Homo; species Homo sapiens. Next base: position 19,083,923 of record NC_000005.10, read on the forward strand.
TCTTAGGGAGAAAAGTTAGTTATGTATAATGCATGAGCTTGAGAGGCTGTTACCCATTCCTCACACATTTTGCTTTGTACTTAATTTGAATAAATAGCCTTTATTCTCATGAACATTTTATTAGACAAACATCTATGAGTCCATTATTTAGTTTCTTTCTCTTGCCCTATTATACACAATATGAATAGTCTATTTCCTAACGGATTTCTTGCCTGCTTTCTGTGAGAGTATGCATGGAAGTCTCTAAACTATTCAACAATAAAAATTAACACAATAATCTTTTTCTCAAAATGTAACTGGAAAGCTCTCCAAGACCTTCTAATTTCACTGATAAGAAAAGCAAGATGCAGAGAGACTAAGTGATGGATATGCTGAAGACCAATCAGCCTTACTCTTATACAAGAGTCTAAGGAATTCTACTTCAGATTTTCTCCACTCTACTAAGACATAAATATTTTACATAAAAAAGACCATACAGTTCTGTTAGTTCGTGGGTCCTTAATTCACCCATCGGCCATGGCTGAATACTGGTCTGTGGCCTGTTAGGAACCAGGCGGCATACAGAGGGTGAGTGAGTGGCCAGAGAGTGAACATTACTGCCTAAGCTCCACCTCCTGTCAGATCAGCAGTGGCATTAGATTCTTACAGGAGCACAAGTCCTATTGTGAACTGTGCATGAAAGAGATCTAGGTTGCGGGCTCCTTATGAGAATCGAATGCTTGATGATCTGTTACTGTCTCCCATCACTCCCAGTTGGGACTGCCTAGTTGCAGGAAAATCAGCTGAGGGCTGCCATTGATTCTACATTATGATGAGTTGTATAATTATTTCATCATATATTACAATGTAATGATAATAGAAATAAAGTGTGCAATCAATGTAATGCACTTGAATCATCCTGAAACTCTCTCTAACTCTGATCCACGGAAAAATTTTCTTTCACAAAACTGGTCCCTGGTGCCAAAAAGGGTGGAGACTGCTGTATTAGTTGACAAAATAAACTTGACCACTTTTCCCACTCTATCTTCTAGAACGTGTTAATAAACATGTTAATGATGTATACATTGTCATTACAGGAACCATTACACAAAGAATCATGAGTATATAAAAGTTTTGAATAGACCACATGTAGTACAATTGAAATTCCAGATAAAGCATTATTTTATATTATAAAAATATTAAAATACACTGTTACTAACACTATATTCAAAGAGCAACATCTATGAATTTGCTTCAACAGATTTTTTAAGTGACCTAATACTCATTATGCAAAGGTAAAATTCTTTGCCCATTTGCTAATTCTTACAACCACCCTACACAGTATCTATCATTAATAATATTTTATAGAAGAATAAACTAAGATAAGTTTTCTCTGCATCTCACAGCTTGTAATGTGTGAAGATAAAACTTGTAGCCAGGTCTGCCTATCTCAAAGCCTTATTATTATAATTTATTATTATTATTTAGGTGCTTCTAGAATGGGTTTCAGAATGTGGTAAACAGTTGGAGAACTGAATATAGAGAAATCAGACTTCTGAATGCATAGCACATTTAACAGCCTCTTCCATTTCATCAATATAAAATATTTAAAAGGTTAGCTAGAGATAGTTAATATTTTAAAAGCATGCAAATTCATATCTAAAAATATTTTGGTACATTATTATTTTCTCTGGACGTGTTAATGTTTTTATATGATCTGCTATCTAAATCTGAATTCATCATGATATAGTCAGTAGAATTGCCTCTCTGAATGGCAAACTTGATGGTCGAAGTCTACTTGTCTTTAGTGTTAAGAATTACTTCAATATGTCTGGGGTGTGTGTTATAGAAATAAGTAAAGACTACCCAAAGGAGAACAAGCACAGGCTATTTATTTATAGCTTGCTGTAGCAAGCTACTATCATTTGGATTTGACAGAGACACAAAACAGAGTGGGAGAGCTTTAGAACGGACAAAGTGGGAAGGATTCAGGTATGTCCTTGATTAGATGCTGTTGGCATCTGTAAACTAGAGACCTGTTAACTAGAAGTGGGGCATCCTCTATGGTTGGTTAGGGGAACATACTTGCCTTTTTCTGCTTGGTCATAAGTTGGAAGCAGAAGGGAGTAGATGGAATTATGGAAACAGGCAGCTATTGATTAAGTCTTGTTTGGGGCCAACTGCTACAGAGGTTTTGGTTTGGCTTCTTGGCTGGTTGCTTCAGGCTGGGGGTCAGAGTTGTTTTAATATCTGGAGTGGCCATTTTCCATGTGTATATTGACTCTCTTTCTCGCTGTGTCAGGGAGTGGGTGTGCATGTGTGTGTGTATGTGTGTTTTGTGTATGTTTGTCTGCTCTAACACTGCTTCAGATACACAGTTTTGGGAAAAAACTCCATTCTAGACTTTCCTTTGGATATTACCCTTCTACATATTCTACATGTTCTCCTCCTGGAAGGCTCATTGGATATTTTTTGTTAATTCAAACTTTTCCTTTTTGTCCCTCATGCTCTCTTTTATATTTAATAATTATTTTATCATTCTGTACTTCATTCTTTGAACTATTTATGTTCTTTATCTTATTCACTAGTTCTCTCTCCAACTGTATCAAACTTGCCACTTAACCTGTCCGTTGACTTTTTGTGTTCATCACTATACTTTCTATTCATCAAGTTTCCATTTGGTAAGTTTTCTCATCTTCATCTTCACTTTTCACAATGCTATTCTTTTTCCTCTTAATTTTCATCTTTCTTTTGTCATTTCACACATTTTAAACAAATCAATTTATAATCTAGATCACCTTGTTCTAATATCCAAATTTTCAGGTTGGTGATTTTTTTTCTTTTGGAGTTTGCTGTCTTTCCCTGATAGATTACTTCTCTTAAGAATCTGTAAGCTTTAACTGTAATCTAATCATTGGCTAAAATGAACTTTAATCTTTGGCAGCATTCTTTTGCTGTTTAAGATATGAATGTATTCCTTATAACCAATTTTTGAAATTTACTTCTGCAACACATGTTTTGCTAACTAATGACTAGTTTTGTGTTTCTGTTATTCTGTCCCACTAGACTTTCAATTTCAACTCCCTCCTTGGTGATAGCAGAAGACCACATATCTTCCTTTTTAGCTGTTAAATCCCAGTTCCGCAGCTTTGAGAGACTGCATTTTGCTATGATAACCTCCTATTTTGCCAACTATGTATGTGTCAGGTGGTTTACTTTTCTGGTTGTACATTTTTCTCTTTATTTGTATTAGGAATTAGGTGTTTTTTCTTTATAGTTTGTTTGTACATACATTTATACATATCCAGGCATATACATACCCATGACTATCGAACAATCTGTGACCAACAGACTCTGTTACTACCACAGAGCTTTCCACATTAATTTCAATTTTTCTTACTTAAGGTGCTTCTTAGGTCTCGTTATGCTTTGGCTTTGTGTTTTAATTGCATCTGATTCAGTTTTAAAAGTAATCTAAGGCTTATTTATTAAAGGTGATTTTTTGTGCAACCTTAAATATGTCAGTTTTAATGCTTTAATGCCTGATGGGATTTTGAGGAATAAATAGGAATTTTCATAGTTAATATCATTGATTATATTAATTGTCTATGTCTATTAACCTGGTTCTTTTGTTTGATCTTTGTTAATTTCTGATTGTTTCCTAGCACTGATTCATCTTAATCCTACATAAAAATATGAATCAAAACTCAGGCCTTGGTTCTCAGATCTTTCTACTCTTACAAGAATGTCTTAGTCCAGTTGCCATAATAACATACTATAGACTGAGTGACTTAAATAATAAACATTTATTTCTTACAGTCTGGAGTCTGGCAAGTCCAAGATCAATGTTCTAGTAGATCTGTCTGGTGAAGGTCCTGTTCCTGGTTTTCAGACAGCTGCCTTCTCATTTTATCCTCACATGAAAGACAGCAGAGAGAGAGGGGAAGAAGTGCTATGGTGTGTCTTGATAAGGGCACTAATCAACTCAGGAGGAATCTAACCTCATTAACTTATCACCCAGCACCACCCTCTCCCCATCCTAAGACCATCACATTGGAAGTTAGATTTCCTAATATAAGTTTTAGAGGGATATAAACATTCAGTCCCTAGAAATGAGAGCAACTACCTTTAGAGATAGCACTTCTCTAAATCATGGTTTCAAATTTTAAATATCTTCTATTTTCAACTATATAATATTTTCAACTGCATAGCTCCACTTGAATCTTCCATATTTGCACAGTTAAAAAGAGCACCTTAAAATCTATATTCAATATCTATGACACTACTGTTTCCTAGAAATTCCTGATTCTGTCAGGCGTATCACAACTGTTTAAATAACTCAGGCTAGCAATCTCAAATTCCTCATTCAAAAATATTCAATTAGAATATCAAAATATCAATTCCATCTCAATAATAGAATGCCAATCTGAGTTTCAATCTCCGTTGCCACTTTCGTGTTTTAAACTTATTTAAAATTCAATATAGACAAAGTTGAATTAATCCTTTGTCCATAGTAATTGCCCTCCTCCTCCTCTGTGTTCTATTACACCAAATGTTTTCATGATATATCCAATTACCAAGCTGGAAACCTAGAAATCACCTTGAACACTTTTTCTCATTAATGTTAAAAATCCAATCTATAATTTGGGTTTTAACATTCTATTGAGTTTCTCTTGACTTCATCCACTTGACTCCATTCCCATCTGTGTGATGTAATCTATTATTATATTCATTGTGTATTATTGTAATGTTTATTTCACGTACATATTTTTCTGTGACTATGTGAGTTATTTTAAGGTGGGGGCCACAAGTATTATCTTTACCAATCTATTACCACAGCTTATCATATTGTCTCCCATAGATGATTAGTATTTGTTAAATTAATAAATGAATATAGTTTCACTAGCGCTACATCTCTCCAGACACACCTTCTTTTGTCTGAGTGTAGTAGGTTATATGAGGGCCCATTATCCATTAATCTTTCCTGCAGAATCCAGCTTGGCCACATAACTTGTCAGTGAATTTGGATATGAGTTCTAGGTCACACTCTTGAGGAGGTGAGCGTGGTAAAGTGATGTGTAGCCATGATCATTTTTTGTTCTCTACTAGATGTGTTACAGATGGAAGCTGCTTCATGTGTTTGAAACTATAAAACAAAATGAGACAATGATGAAAATGTAGCATGAGATAAATAAGTGTTTGTGAGTCACTGGGATATAGAAGGTCACTTGTTGCCTCATAAGGGCTAGCCTATGCTGACCAAGACACCAGTTAATATATTATCTATTTCTTTTACTCTTGTTTTTTGCTTTAACACTATTTGGAAGACACTATTTTGAAGAAAATGCAATCAATTCTAGACTTTTTTTTACATTATATATCTCTCTCTATATATACATGTATATATCAGAATGTTTTATAATTTATAAAATATGTAGAATAAGATGAAACATATAGATATACAGTTACAAAAAGATAGGAAGCATTCATGATTTTGTTTCATCTATAAACTGTTTTGCTTTTTTATTAACATGGAATAATAAAATTTAATGTCAGGTTTAATAACTACTATTATTTTATGCAATGATATTTACAAGTCATATATATAATAAAATATTCTTATTCCTAACAGAGTCATAGATACTGGTAATACTATTAAGGATTTTCCCCATGTTCTTGTTTGAAAGAAAAAGGTACTTTGCAGTAAGAGGTCAATAAAACCAAGGAAATGCATTTTTCTCATCCAAGTTTAAAGGAAATTTGAATTTTATCCATAGATTCCATAGATACCCAAGAGAGTCTGTGGACTACAAATAAAGAACTCCTGATACAATAAAGAGGGGACTATCAAGGAAAATACAAGGTAGAACCTATAATCATCATTCTGAGACTGTTTCTGAAAGAATAAATCAGGAGAACTGAATTAGATTTATTTCTCCTTAAAATGATATATAAATAGAACATGTTTATTATATAAAAATCAGTTAAAAATAATGTGTTAAATAGACTACGGATAGACTATAAATCTTAATAAAATAATTTATTCAGAGGCTTTGACAGATTGGCAAATTAAGATAATAAAGTAGGTTTAATATTTAAAATCTAAAAAAAATTACATTGGGAATGAACATAATATATTAATTTTTGTAAGTGAGCACATGTTCCTGAAACGGATTCAATGTTGAACTCTTATTTCACAGCAGCATATTATTTATCCATTCATTCAAGTATGAGCTCTGCCAAGGATCTATCACTTCTAATAGGTTGAGAATATTGAATTCAGTCTGTTTTCTCCTTGTGAGCATTCAGGTATACATGTATGTCACAATATGTGTTGTGCATCAAATAAACTAAGCATTCTCTTTCACTAATGTAAACATAGTAAACAATTAAATTAGTTAAAATGTTGAACTATTAAAACTGGTACAAAATTAACTCATTTTCTCTCATCTTAATGTGGAAATACAAAGCTTACATTTATTGTACAATGAACAGTAAATGGAGTCCACTAAACAAAATGTTTTACCATGGTCTTCAACTTTTGAAATATTATTATTTTCATTTTCTACTTCAAAAATTTCCTATTAGCTAGAGTTATTGAAAATGTATTCTTAAATAAACCAACAAATAGTCATCTGGAAAAATAAAGCTAATTAACTTGTGTGTATATGTGCATATATACACACTTTATATGTATATAAGCATATACACATACTAAATGTGTATATCGAGTGTATATATAGAGTGTATGTATATACTTGTATCTATTTATATAAACAAAATGAGTATATATGTGTATTAATTTTAAAAATCTATTTTGAAGTGCTGAGTGCATAAAGAAAGACTTGAAACTGGAAAGGAATTAGGGAAAATATTGAAACTGTTTGGAATTTTTCTTCATATGTTGTTCATTTTTATGTTTTGTAGTTTAAATGATATATTTTACAAAATATAAGACAGTATTCTCATAAGTTGTCCCATTTTTTCTTATACCACTTATTTTAAAACGCTTCTAATTAAATTCTAATGCAATGATTTTTTTCAATTATTTTCCTGGCCCATTATGGTTGTGAAATGCATTGATATAAAAGATCCTTTGATTTTCTGTGTCCCCAGTTGCTTTTCACACTGTGTTACAATCAATCTTTTTGTAACCCAGCTTCATTTACATATGTGTATTTCGCATTCTTATGCTTCATAAAACTCAGTTTGTGCTTTGAAATAAGGATTGCAGTCTTTCATCCAATTATATTTGTTTCAATAATATCAAATTTATACCATTATTTTTGTTTCCAGTGCTGTGACCCTATCCTCTAGTCACCCACTGGAGGTATATAAAAGTCACTTTTAGTTTCATTTCAAATTATATTCTAATCATTTTGAAGAGAATGAGAGGTAATTAATTTCACATATGTGGTGACAATATACAAATAACTAAATTGTAAAAACAACAACTTGAATAGTTATGACCATATCTGTATATACTCAGGAGATGGCATCTTTATTATGACAGCTAACAGGAAGGATAAGACTAAATAACTTCCAAAACACATCCTTATTTTAGAGGCATTCAAATAGAAAAAAATCTTTATTTATACATTAATCAAATATGGTGTACTGATAAAATGCAATGATTGTAATACTTTTTTTCTTCTGAAATTCTCTTGAAAATATATTCCAGTGAATTTAGTACACATATTCTATCTAGTCCTATAATTTGTCTTTAAAAACATTTAATTGTACTTTTAAAAAAGTCCTGTGAAAATTAAATTTTACTTTTGAAAAGTAAATAGTAGGAAAATACTACATTGTATTTTCCTTGATAGTCTCCTCTTCATTGTATCAGGAGTTCTTTATTTGTAGTCCACAGACTCTCTTGGGTATCTATGGAAAAAGACCTTTTTCTTTCAAATAAGAACATGGGGAAAATCCTTAGTAGTATTAGCAGAAAATTTAGAGCCTACTTTTAAAAGAGAAATAAAATATCTTTCTTAGTCATGACAAACTGATCCGAGGTCATCACTATTATTAATGTTTCTTTAATTAGAAACCTAATTGACACAAAAATATCCCAAATGGAAAATATATCTCTCCTTTGTATATACTTGTAATCCTTGATCAGTATCACTTGTTGAAAGGTAAAATTTAGAAAAAGATTCTGTACAAAAAATGGTTAAAATTATCTCTCTGGTAATTCAGATAGCATTGAAAATACTGTGTGTCAGAAGCAACTCCATTTGCTATAGCTTGTACTAAATTATTTAATTATTAAAGGAGGAAAGTCTAAACCAATCATGAAATTCAGTAAGAATGACATTTTTTATAGTTGTCTTTTAAAAAGCCGAACCAAAAATTAGATACATTTTAAAGTTTGAAGTAGAATATATGTGATCTATAATCTAATTAAGCAGTAATTCTTCAACTTTGCTCCTGAGGAATTTGTAAGCTGTTTACATTTTGCAAAGACTCTAGAAACAGGAGGTATACAACTCAAGAGGAGAAGAATGAAACCTCAGAAGAGAGGATTTCTAACATGGTGTGATAATGAGGACTCAAAATGCCATAGCTTAAAGAAGAGTTTATTTTTCTCATATAAAAAAGATGAAGAGATAGTCAAGGGTTTGACGTGATGCCTCTATTGCCAAATGTGATCCCCCTCAAAGTTGAAGGCACTGTTCCACTCTCTCCCATTTCCCAGGAAGTAGGAAGTCGGGAAGAGGAAGTGGACAGGACAAACGTGAGTTTATAATGTCATAATCTGGAACAATTTTTGCTTGCTTTCAATTGTCCAGATAACCATTATATTGCCACACCCAGCAGTAAGGGATGCCAAAAGTACATACTCCATCTGGTGTCTACATGCTGAGCTAAAACTTAAGGGGCACCATCTGAAATATCTTGTAATTAAAATGTTTACTTTTTTCATAGAGATAATAATAGCTCATTATTGATTTTAATCTATATGTCTTTGGATTATTTTATAATTTGCCTTTTAACATTCTGTTTATGTATTATTTTCATATTGAAAGTTTGTTTTTAATAAGGTAGTTTCGTTGAACAATGCAGGTATGTATCCATGTATTCAGTCTTTGATTGTGTCTTTGGAGTTCATGCTTAGAAAGTTCACATCTTCGATATTCTAAAAATGCTCAATTACTTCCCTTTTAGAATTTCTGTGTTTAAAAGTTTTTGGATTTAAGTATTTGACCCATGTGGATTTAGTTGTAAGAAAAGAGACAAGAATATAGATTTTTCTTTTTCTACTCTTAATAAAGTATCACATTTGACCAAAGTTGCTCATGGTTTTATAAACTGGCTAGACAGATAGATGACATTTCTTTCTGAGAGACAGAATAAGAGAGAAATGAGTTTTTAAAATTCATTGTTATAATCCAAAGACTTATGAACGCAGATCACCGTTTTCAAAATAATTTTTTAATCTGCTTATTACTTTACATTAATTTTAGGTTTATATTATTAAAATTATTAAGTCAAAATTAAAAGCACAGTTGATATTTTGTTTGGATTTACTTAAGTATATTTTTAATAAATAGCTTAATACATATAAATACTATGTTCTTCTATTTATTAAAGCTTTCTATTTTTCCAGTGGAAGCAGCATTACAAAACAAAAGATGTAAATTATAGAACTGGGAGTTTTAATGTTGAAATAAAATAAATTCCAGAATGTGATAGAACAATAGGAAGGTTAATATTAGTCAACATGCTTCTAATGTATGTGTTTCTGCTGATTTTAAAATGTAATCATTTATCCTATTGCAATTCTAAGTTAACATTCTTCCAATGGACAAGAAACTAACTTAAAGCCACTACTAGAAATACTGTGGAAGATGATAGCTTAAATTCAACAACTCTCTCTGTCTTCTATATTTCTGCTACGGTGATTTGTCAATTCCATTAATAGTCAGTTTATGAGGATAGCATTTAACATATAGTTGCAGCCCTTTCATGTACTAATAATTTTCGGTTATCATATAGATGATTCAGGCAAGAAGTTCTTTCAGAGGCCAATTCACCATGCACTTCTTTGGAGGACAGAGAAGGCAGCCAATATGGACGCTTAATGGCTCGGACCAACGTTTCTGCGTTAGTCCTCTCTTGTGGTCTACCAGCCCACCACCACATGAGACACTTGACAATTATGCCCGCACAGCAAACTAGGGAAAGCACTTGAGATCTGAGCTGGTGAATGTGAGTAAATTGAGACTAGCCCGAAGATAGTAAAATATTACCAGAAATGTAGTATGTTTCAATAACTTGAAAGAAATAGTGTTAAAGAAAAAATATTAAAATATGTAGACATACCTAAGGGTAAAAAAAAAAAAACAGAAAATGATTTTATTATTATTATTATACTTTAGGTTATGGTATACATGCAGAACGTGCAGATTTGTTACATAGGTATACATGTGCCATGGTGGTTTGTGGCACCCATCAACCTGTCTCTACGTTAGGTATTTCTCCTAATGCTATCCCTCTCCTAGCCTCCCACCCCCAATAGGCCCCAGTGTGTGATGTTCCCCTCTCTGTGTCCATATGTTCTCAATGCTCAACTCCCACATATGAGTGAGAACATGCAGTGCTTGGTTTTCTGTTTTTAAAAATAAATACAGTAATATAAGCAATGTATATATATTTTGAAAAATATATGGTAGTCTAAAAAAATATTTTGTAATTCCATCTCTTTAAAGATAGAAATAATATTAAATTATTTTTGTATTAGGTTGTTTAAAAAAAGTATTTGTGAGATTTTATTTTTCTGTTCTCATGTTAGTTTGCTGAAAATGATTGTTTCCAGCTTCATCCATGTCCCTGCAAAGGACACGCACTCATAATTTTTGTGGCTGCATAGTATTCCATGGTGTATATGTGCCACATTTTCTTTATCCAGTCTGTCATTGATGGGTATTTGGGTTGGTTCCAAGTCTTTGCTATTGTGAACAGTGATGCAATAAACATATGTGTGCATGTATCTTTACAGTAAAATGATTTACATTTTCTTAGGTATATACCCAGTAATGGGATTGCTGGGTCAAATGGTATTTCTGGTTCTAGATCCTTGAGGAATTGCCACACTGTCTTCCACAATGGTTGAACTAATTTACACTCCTATCAACACTGTAAGAGCGTTCCTATTACTCCACATCTTCTCCAGCATCGGTTGTTTCCTGACTTTTTAATGATCACCATTCTAACTGGCGTGAGATGGCATCCCATTGTGGTTTTGATTTGCATTTCTCTAATGATCAGTGATGATAAGCTTTTTTTCGTATGCTTGTTGGCCACATAAATGTCTTCTTTTGAGAAGTATCTGTTTATATCCTTCACCTACTTTTTATGGGGCTGTTTGTTTTTTCCTTGTAAATTTGTTTAAGTTCATTATAGATTCTGGATATTAGCCCTTTGTCAGATGGATAGATTGCAAAGATTTTCTCCCATTCTGTAGGTTGCCTGTTCATTCTGCTGATAATTTCTTTTGCTGTGCTGAAGCTTTTTAGTTTAATTAGATCCCATTTGTCAATTTTGGCTTTTGTTGCCATTACTTTTGGTGTTTTAGTCATGAAATCCTTGCTCATGCCTATGTCCTGAATGGTATTGTCTAGGTTTTCTTCTAGGGTTTTTATGGTTTTAGGTCTTACGTTTAAGTCTTTAATCCAGCTTGAGTTAATTTTTGTATAAGGTTTAAGGAAGGGGTCTGTTTCAGTTTTCTACATATGGTTAGCCAGTTTTCCCAACACCATTTATTAAATAGGGAATCCTTTCCCCATTGCTTGTTT